>NW_011332695.1:0-203552 GCF_000001405.40 Homo sapiens | reverse complement strand
CATATCCTTTTCCTTTGCCTTGTCACTTCTCCAAAAATTTACAGCCCTTGGTTAAAATGGTATACAAGCCTTTGGGTCTAACTGCTTCTTTGGGGTTTTCACTTCTTGTCTGTGAGGTCCCTGATGCTATGTAAAATTGTTGACATCAAATAAAATTTGTATGATTTCTCCCGTTAATCATAATTTTTTTTTTGTCAATTTAATCTGTAGGTCTCAGTTTAAGAACCTAAGAGGGTAGAGGAGAAGTTTTCCTTTCCCTACAAGGTAAAAAATTAAAAAAAGTTTAGAGAATGATGGCTTTTGCCATGATTGTCACAAGGAGATTGCTGGGCTGGAGAGATGATATGGTGTCTGGAATCACAGTGTTGTATAGTATTCCTTTCTCTCTCTCTCCTGCTGGGCCAGACCCCAAGATTTGATTACCATGGGGCTTCTTGCTCATGTGTACTGTGCACTTGGATGCAACAAACCATTCACTTACAACCTTACATCACAATGTGGCTCTGATGGATCCTGGCCAGCACTTCCTAATCTCTGCTTTCTATCCCTGGGGAAACTGACTTCCTCCAACTTCAATTCCATTTCTCATTTATAGATGTTGCCTTTCATGTCAGAATCTTGCTCTAACTTCCAGCTTCTCTGACCAGATTTCATGCTCCTCTTCCTTTATTTGGCTTCTTTGGGTAATCCCTCCCTGGTTTCATCTCACCATAGGCCCTTTTATTGCAGTGCAGGCTGCACCCTCATCAAATTTCCCTCAGTCCTGTGATCAAGCCCCAGAAAAGCAGTCCCGAGCAGGCCACAGCACCACCCTCCAGCCTGAACACCGAGATGTATTCGAGGGCCTAGGCCTTATCTTTCACCCTAGAGACTTAGGAACATGCTATAGAAAGCAGCCATCAGAGTTGTCCAGATGACCACTGTAATTTTATCATGTGCTTTGCCAGCCTGCCTGTACTCCTTACTGCCATCTTGCTAGCACTGGCTATGCCACTGGGGGAGTTTGAAGGCCTCCTTCTCCTTGAAGGTGTGAAAGGAAAATAAAGTTATTAGAAAACTGCATTCAAGGACACCTGTCAGAGTCCTATAGCTGATTATAAAAAAAAAAAATCTTTTGAAAAGGATAAAAGTGAAACAACTGTGGATGACAAGTCTTAGAACAGTCATAAAGACACAATTGACAAGGAAATTTGGTTGCTTTTGTGGCATACAACAATTTTACATTATCATAATTACTACTGTTAACATATGCTAAGACATATCAGAATCACAGGAATTTCATACAATGCGGGAACATATACTAATAACACATTTATATAAATATATTTCTAATAACTTTGGAGACTGTGACACTAGAATAGAGGAAAAACTTCCAAGACTCCCATGGAGAGCTGAAATGTTCATGAATATCAAACAGAATAGGAGTTAACTCCATGGATTGAACTAATAGAAGACTGAAATAATCCTTTTATGACATTTTGTTTAAAACATTGCTGATCCTTTGTTTTTCAGAGCCAATAAACTTTTCTTTTGAGATTTTTACAGCTTTTAACAATTGAGTAAACTCCCGTAAACAAAATTTGGAACATATTTCTCTCTACCTGATTTCTCAAAAATTTGGAAACTACTTGTGAATATTTTTAACTTATGGCAATATTAGTCATTTGCACAAGTGCAATAAGAATCTGTTTTCATTTGTAACAGGACACAATTGGAGACACAGGTTATTTTACCAAGGTTTTGACTGGAATGGCATGCTTTCAGATACAGATGCCTTTAAGGATTCAAAGTTGACTTATAGAGCCAATGAAAACCCCTTGGGAAAGATGGCCCCATACCTTGTCTACACAGTCCCTGTACAGGTTCCTTACCTGTTGAAACGCCTTTGCAAAAGTTATATCAGTGAGAAAAGTATAACAGTAAGCTAAGCTAACACAATCCCCACCTTGCCTTTCCCTTAATTATTCCTGGGCTATTGGGCCAAGCTATCTTTGGAAGATATTTAGGCTATAGTTAAATGATAATAGGCCTTGCCCCAAACTCAACTGCTTTTGTAAAGCTAATGAGATGCCGTCAGGCTGGGAGAAGGAGAGGAGGCTAAATCCTGCTAAGGTGTAGACATAAACAATTGTCAGCCATTATTCTGGAGGTTATAAGATATGCTACTTCCCCAATTACTGCTGCAAATAACACCATTATTGTAGATTGGCCTTTTGAGATATGTTTCCAGACTTTTTTGCATGTCTCATACCCATGGCTCCACCTGGACCAACAACCCCACTCCTGTGGCTGCACCCAGAAGCGATTTGGCCTGCAGGAGGACAGCTTCAACCCCTTGTGATTTCATCTCCACCCCAACCAATCAGCAGCAAGTACCTGCTACCTGGCCACCCCCACCCCTTCCCCAAAACTGCCTTTGAAAAACCTCTAACCTTACCAGCTTTGAATGAGATGATTTGAGTAGAAATTTCATCTCCCATGTGGTGTGGCTGGCCTTGTGTCTGTTAAACTCTTTTTCTACTACAGTGTCGTGGTCTTTCTTTATGCAGTGGGCAGGAAGAACCCCTCAGGCAATTATGCTGTGGTAAGTAAAGAATGTCACTTTCTGATAGTCCCAGGAGCCCCAAGTTTTCTTGGGAATTCAAGTTTAGGAATTCACCCAATTAATACAGATATTTGTGGGCAGAGGTTAGGCTTAAGGCATTAAAGTTGAATCTGAGATTCCTTATGGAATAAAGTTCCAGCAATGCCAATTAAAAAAAAAAGAGGAGCCTATATGACAAATAGTTATTCTTGCTGACTTTATGAAAATACCCCAGCCAAGTATAATAAGATTAAAACTTATTTTGCAAATGAATTTGTCTTATGACTTGTCTTTAGTGAAAATAGGACTGGAGAGAGAAAAATTATGTTTCAAAATAAACTATAGTACACTTGTTAGAGTCTAGTCTTGCCTAATGTTTTTCAGTTTTTATTCCTTTCTACAGTTTAGACTGAATTCTAAAAATTTTCCTGGCTACAAGTCTCCAAAACAATGTTTTCAATATTTCTTCTTCTTTTTTTTCCTTTTCTCCCATTTTTCCTGATTTGAAATCACTGAAGATTAAGCCGTGCTTTCTTAAAGCTTTGTGAACAACTTAAACTTTAGAAGAAAATAATGGCAGCCTATTTACGTACCTAAACCACTTTCATACCTGCCTACTGATGTATGGACTTCAGAGTAACATGACCTGTATGAATTTTCCAGGATTGTTCTTCATTGTTTGTTTGTTTGTTGTTGTTTTTCTTCTTCCCTCCCCCTATTTTCTCTTTGTAGAATGTGTGACTTTACAATCTGCTAAAAATGAGCTTTCCTAATAATGTGGGACCTACCCGTCTAGGAATAAACCATCCTAGCCATGAGAGATCAGACAAAACCTCAGCCCAAAGACTCATTTTCCTCTAAAATGCTTTCTTTGAAAGCTTTTTAAAAAGAAAAGTGGGGAAATGCAAAAGGAAAATAAACCTCAGTTCCCCCAAATCACTAAGCCAAAGGGAAAAGTCAGACTGGGTACTGTGGGCATACTTGCCTCCCACTCTATTCCTAAATAAGATAGCTACAAAGATTAAAAAAAAAAAAAAAAAAGCTACATACCTCCGTCACAATTTGCCCACGGGAAAATTCCTTGTGGATAAAAAGCAGAACTCAAAGTCATCCCTCTGTTAACATGATACAAATGCATATCTGATTGCTTCCTTGCTCCATTATTTCACTAAGCTAGACTAAGGCATAAGTGACTGTTCCTGTAAATTGTGTATTCAGTGAAAGGCTGATCAGAAACTAAAAATAATGCAACTGTTTATGTCTTATCTACCTATGACCTGGAAGCCCTCTCCCTGCTTTGACTTGTCCCACTTTTCTGGACTGAACCAATGTACGTCTTACATATATTGATTGATGTCTCATGTCTCCCTAAAATGTATAAAACCAAGCTGTGTCCCGACCACCTTAGGCACATTACTTCAGGACCTCCTGAGGCTGTGTCATAGGCACATCTTAACCTTGGCAAAATAAACTTTCTAAATTGATTGAGACCTGTCTCAGATACTTTTTGGTTTACAAAAGCCTTGTGACAATACTCTTGAGAAAAGACAGCTTCTAGCAGCAGAGACAGATACCTCCAAAATGGCCACAGGATCTCCTGTCTCAAGAAGACCTTTAAGCTTACCAAATCCATGTGCTAACTCCATCAAAACTGACCAAGGTATAAAGGAGAAGATGGTGACCTTTGGGGAGCCTGAGGGGACTGTCTCAAAGGGCCCTTGTATAAGAGGGGACAGACTGGGGTTGGAGCTCCTGCCTGTGTCAAAAAGAAGGCCTGGAAGCAAGAGGATGAAGACATGTGTTCAACTTTGCCTTGGGATCTGCCTCCATAGGTAGGGAAAGAGTATAATGAATGTGGGAACACTGCAGCTTGATTGAGAAACTCCAATTGCTTCACATGTTTTTCTCATTGCCCTTGTTTCTAACAGTTTGCTGTGAAAAAACACTGTGTATAGAGTGAGTGTGTAAGTATGTGTGTATGTGTGTATGGGAAAGTGAGAGACTCATACCTACCAGCTGGCTTCATCTCTCTCTGACTTTCTATTTTGTTTGCTCATTTTTCTGATATCTCTCTGTATCTCTTCTCTGACTCTTTACTCTTTTGATCTCTTGCTATTCCCAGGCTTGGTTTCTCTTTCTTTTGTCTCCACCCCTGCCCTTTTTGGGACTTAGTTGCAATTATCAGTGTTGCCTGTAGCCAGGCCAGGGTGGATAGGCAGGGAGGACTCATTTCATCTCTTGCCTCCACCCTCCAATTATAGTTGGTTCCATGCATCTCATTCCTCCTTTCTTCAGGTGTGATTCTGAATCTGGCACAGTGGTCTCCAGACCTGGTGCCTTTGCAGTAGGTGGCCTTTCTGCTCTCTCTGTCACCCTCACTACATAACTGTGTCTCACTCTTTTATCTTCCCATCTTGGTCTCTGGGTCCTGGTTCTTGGCAGTCTTGTTTTTGTCGCTAGCCTCATCTTGGTCAAGGCACTGGGAAAGGCCAGTCCCATTCCTGCCTGTTCCCCTGGACTCTGGGGTACTCCCTGAGCAGTGGGCACAAGAGGCCTTGGAGGAGGAGGAGAGGTGCACAGGAGGGAAGGCTTGCAGTGGCCTCCTTAAGGTGTCTCCTCTCCTCAACCACCCCTGCCCTCTCACTCATGGGAGATACTCTTACATGTACTTCACAGAGCATATGGAGACTCAGACATGACCATGCTTATCTTCTGACCACAAAACCCACACACCTGACTTTCTCTGCCAAACAACCTCTGTCACTTTCCTCAGGAATGAATGGATGCTGTTCCTTCCAGCCTCCTGTCAAAGGCCAATCTTTTGCCTTTGCTTCGAATCCTGTCCCAATCCCCATTCTCCATTCCCCCCTCTGGTGCTTGCCTTTCTCTTCTGCATTTCTAACCTGACCTCTCTATGGGAGGCTTTGTATCAGCATCCAGGTACATTCCTCCCTTTCCCATGTTAAAGCAAACAAAACCTTCTCTGGACTTCACATCTCCCATATTACCTCAGGACCTTTCTCATCACTTTTGTTACCAAGCTTCCAGAGAGATTTGTCTATACATGTTAACTCCATTTCTTTACCTCTTACTGTTTCTTTGCTAAGTTAATTTTTATCTTTTCAAAGTAATACATGGTTATGATTTCTAAAGTCAATAGGCATTAAAAAACTTATGCCCTGGAACAGTAGTCCTTTCCTCTCCTGATGCCCAGTCTCTTTTCGCTAAAACAACTATTAATACATTAGATTTTAACTATTTCTTCTTACATCTCTGCATTTTGAAGTAATATGTGTACTGTATATCACTATCTTTTGATTCAACATTTTAGGCATTGTCTATCAACTTCCTCTTCTAGTACATTCCACCACCATCCTTTCAATGTAATTATATTTTAAATTTTAGAGCAATGTTCAGTGGTTACACTATGATTTCTATGCAAACATTATTCACACTTGAGTATATTAGTTTACTATTATATTTCCAATTTTATTTTTTGTTTCTCCTCTTGCTAGTAATTTCTTTATTTTACTTTCATTTATCTGGTTTTCTTGGAAGTTACTGCTAGCTTTTTCCACCTTCTAATAGCCTCCCAATAGGCTGTTTTAGAAGGCCAATAGCATCAGCTAGTCTAGCAAGTCTTTTTTCTTTTTTCTTGGAGACATTCTTTTTGGAGAAACCTGTTCTCTTTCTGTCAGGGCTCTTGGGGATCCTCAGCTCTCTAGGCCAGAGGACTGGCTGCCTTCTGGGAATTTGTTTTTCTCCTTTTTCTTTTTTGTTTTTTTGAGACAAAGTCTTACTTTGTTGCCCAGGTTGGAGTGCAGTGGCACAATCTCAGCTCGCTGCAACCTCCGCCTCCTGGGTTCAAGCAATTTTCCTGCCTCAGCCTCCCTAGTAGCTGAGATTACAGGCATGCACCATGATTCCCGGCTAATTTGCGTATTTTTAGTAGAGACAGGGTTTCACCATGTTGATCAGGCTGGTCTCAAACTCCTGACATCAAATGATCCACGCACCTCAGCCTCCCAAAGTGCTGGGATTACAGGCGTGAACCACCATGCCTGGCCTGTTTTTCTCCTTGTTTGAATTCCTACTTCATGGAGCTCCTATCTTCTTCCTTTTTCATTCTCCAGTGATTTCAACAACTTAGAGAAATGGTGCACTGGCGGAGGATATGGTGGTGGCAGTGCTTCAATTCTTTCGTCTCTCTAGTCAAACTGCCCCAGCCTAGGCTGGGGTTAAGTGGTAGAGGAGGAGTGTGGGTTCCAGGGAGGGATGTGGGAAGTCTCCTGGGCTCTTTTTCTCTTGGTGACAGAATAGTTCATGCCTTCCACCCCTCCCTTGTTTCTCAACTTCAACATTTGAAAAAATGAGGTCAAGTTTCCCACTGGTGAGCAATTGCCCATCCCATTGACAGTCATCCCACTGACATTCAGTGGGTGGTTCTGCTTCACAGAGGCTTGGGGCAGATGGGGAGGGGCCCTTCTGTTCCAGGCCTATATACTAGGAACTGTTAGGTATCAAGCTGTAGCTGGTAGGTACCAGCACCACCAAACAGAAGTGAACTAGTGAGTATGGGCTAAGAGAGCCCAAACTTGGACCTGTAGAGCTGTCGGACCAGGAAAGGGGATCTGTTTCGTCTCAGTCCCCAGGCTTTGCTTACTGGGCTCCTGGATCAGGGAGCTGAGTTCTCGCTGCCTCACCTCCAGCTCCCCAAGTCTGAACTGTGGTAAGCAGCCTAGACTGGACATCTTCTTGGCAGGTTCTAGTGTTGTCTTTTCTTTCCTGAATTATTAAATAGCTCTGCCAACATCAGAAATTTGCAGGGAAGCCCTGAGTCTTCCCATGCAGCCTGAAGCTTTGTTGTAAATTGATCCTGCTTTCACAGGCCTGCTTTTCCAAACTGGCCTATGACTCACAACCAAAGTCCCCTGTATCCTAACATGTTCCAAACATTTTCTTTCTCTGTCAGTATGTAGTCAAAATGTTGGTATTTGAATGGCAACAACTCTCTGTGTTCCCAAATTCTCTTTTGAACACTCTCAATGATGAATGTGACATTGTACTACTGAGATGGGTTCCCTATGGGCCTTAGGTCACAGGTGTATTTCTGGATTCTGAAGGCTTTCTATTAATTGTTGCTTTTCTTTTCCAAAGACTGCCACCTGGCCTACATTTTGGTTCTACATTAGAAACACAATTCAAAACTCTGCTCTCCTTTCCCGTTACTTTAGTATTTATACATGTCTCCAGCTTCTGGCAACATTTAGCCTAACTTTCTGGTTCCTGACTCTGTCTTCTATTTCTTTATCTTTTGAGTTTTTTCTGTCTCTCTCTTCCACCCAGGGCATAGACCAGTTTAAATCCTGCCTCTTTGCCCGGTGGCCTAGCTCTGGAAAACTCTGAAAAACCATTTTTCTCTGACTGCCAAATTTCTCATGTGGAACAGTTCCTGAGACGATTTCTGAGATGATCAAAAAGGATATGTAAATCACCTGGCACAAAGTCAGCACTCACAGGTGGCGGTTCCTCTTCCTATCATTATCTGGATTTGTTTCCTTATTTGAATTAGGAGACTTCTAGCTTTGCAATCCCTGTGTGACTGAGGCCAGGAGGCTGACATGTGAGGCCAATGGGTTGAGTGTAGATTTTTTTTACCTTCTTGCCATACCACAGCAGTTCCAGCAAATGTGCTCCAGCTTTCTATAGGTTCACACAGCCAGGGACAGTCTCACTTTTAAAACTTAAAACTTGGCCGGGCACAGTAGCTCATGCCTGTAATCCCAGCACTTTGGGAAGCCAAGGCGGGCAGATCACCTGAGGTCAGGAGATCGAGTCTAGCCGGGCCCGTATGGTGAAACCCCATCTCTACTAAAAATACAAAAGTGAGCTGGGCATGGTGGTGGGCACCTGCAATTCCAGCTACTTGGGAGGCTGAGGCAGGAGAATTGCTTGAACGTGGGATGTGGAGGTTGAGGTGAGCCGAGATCATGCCACTGCTCCCCAGCCTGGGCAACAGAGGTAGACTCTGTCTCCAAAAAAAATAAAATAAAAAACTTAGACTTTTTTTTCTTAATCCATCCGTCTAAGGAGGCATACAGAGCCTAATAAAGAACGTGTTGAGAGGGAAAGAGGAAGGGAGTGGGGGGAGAGAGAGAGACAGAGATAGAGTTTGGGGGAGAGAGAGAGAGATTGAGAGATTAACACACCTACATACCTTCCTACCCATTTGCCAACACAGTCACGTGTCACCTGACTAAGAGGCAGAGGGGAATGACTAGGAAAATTCCCCTGCGTTTCATCTGCTTGTCTTTCTTGGAGCTTTGCACATGTATCTCGTCTCTCCCTGGCCTCCGCTCTATAACTTGGCCAAGCCCCCAGAAAGCAGGGTGGGCCTCTCAGCAGTGGACCTCTCCTTTTGCCTCTTTCTCCAGGTCACTGGTCTTCTGGTCTGGACTTGATCCTTCCCCCAGATCACCATGGCCATGGCCAAGGCCAGAAAGCCCCGGGAGGCATTGCTCTGGGCCTTGAGTGACCTTGAGGAGAACGATTTCAAGAAGTTAAAGTTCTACTTACGGGATATGACCCTGTCTGAGGGCCAGCCCCCACTGGCCAGAGGGGAGTTGGAGGGCCTGATTCCGGTGGACCTGGCAGAATTACTGATTTCAAAGTATGGAGAAAAGGAGGCTGTGAAAGTTGTCCTCAAGGGCTTGAAGGTCATGAACCTGTTGGAACTTGTGGACCAGCTCAGCCATATTTGTCTGCATGGTGAGTGTGGAGCGGGGGAAGGGGAGGGCAGGATGGCACTGGGACTCCCCTCCCACCATGGCATTTCCAGAGCTGCCTGTAGCCTGTACCTTATGCCTTCTGTCACCTTGTCCTCTAGTCCCTGGTGCCCCAGAGTCCTTGGTGGTCTCCACCTGAGGGTTCCAACAACTGTCAGGAGGGGGACTGAGCCAAAGCTGGGATTTATTTAAGAAAAGACTAGCCTTTCTTCCCCACATCTTACCTCCAGCTGCAGTGGCAGAGAAGGGGAGAGTCTGAAGAAAGGGTCTTAGAGACTGGGAGGGTGTTGGTGAAGGGATTTCCACTAACCAGAAGAAATAGCATCAGGATGTAGGGGTCAGACCTGTCCCTAGCTGCTTCCTGGCAAGCTGCTCAGGCGCTTCTAAGTCTTCTGTGGCCCTGATCTCTCAAGGAACCACACTACAGAATGGGTGGTGTGGGACCTCATGGCCTGCTGGTTCTTCCTGTGGGTGCCTGGGGGGAGGGAGGGATCTTTTGGTGCCTTTGCTCCCTCCCATAGGCTCCTTTCATGCTTGAAAGCTCCTCTGCTACGTACAAATGGGAGGGTTTCATGGACCCAGAGTCATGGCTCTTTCTGAGAAGCTGTTTTATCTTTAGCATTTGGCTTGTCCTTTCCCAAGAACAGGCTTATCGGCTGGGCGCAGTGGCTCACGCCTGTAATCCCAGCACTTTGGGAGGCTGAGACAGGCGGATCACGAGGTCAGGAGATCGAGACCATCCTGGCTAACACGGTGAAACCCCGTCTCTACTAAAAATACAAAAAAATTAGCCGGGCATGGTGGCGTGCGCCTGTGGTCCCAGCTACACGGGAGGCTGAGGCAGGAGAATGGCGTGAACCCGGGAGGCGGAGCTTGCAGTGAGTCGAGATCGCGCCACTGCACTCCAGCCTGGGCGACAGAGCGAAACTCCATCTCAAAAAAAAAAAAAAAAAAAAAAGAACAGGCTTATCTTAGTCCCTTTGGTATTGCTATAAAGCAATACCTGAGACTGGGTAATTTATAAAGAAAAGAGGTTTATTTGGCTCATGGTTTGGCAGGTGGTACAAGAGGCATATTGTCAACATTGACTTCTGGCGAGGCCTCAGGCAGCTTTCAGTTATGGAAGAAGGCAAGGTCAGAGCTGGTGTGTCACATGGCAAGAGAGGGAGGAAGAGAGAGGGGAGGAGGTGCCAGGCTCTTTAAACAACCAGCTCTTGTGTAGCTAATAGAGCAAGAACTCGTTCATTACCGTGGGGAGGGCCCCAAGACATTCATGAGGGATTTGCCCCCATGACAAAAACAACTCCCACTAGGCCCTGCCTCCAACATTGGGGATCACATTTCAACCTGAAATTTGGAGGGGATAAACACCCAAACTATATCAAGGCTCCTATCACTTCACCATCCTCAGGCATCCCTTTCCTTTCCCCTCTCTCTGTCCTCACCTCTTCACATGGAGACATTTCACATGAACACTCAGACATTCATGCATTCTCACACAGGCATTTTGCACTTACATGTATTCTTACAGACACACACTTGCTGATGCACACTGACATGACTTCCCTCCACAACAGTACATGAAGGTCCACGAGCACATGTGGATACCAGCATTCATGCACAACTATCCACACACACAGAGCACACCCTTGCACACTCATACAGATGTGCATATGCATACTGCGCCTGCACACACACACTCATGCACACATACAGTGGCCCCTCCCCATGAAGCCAGAACTATAATCTCAGCAAGATCCAAGTTGGAGACATACAAGAAGACTAATGAGCAGAGTCAGTTTGGAGGGGCCATTTTGCCTTCTAAAATTCCCATTTCACTACCTAACATCCCATTTGTTTGGCTCAGATTACAGAGAAGTATACCGAGAGCATGTGCGCTGCCTAGAGGAATGGCAGGAAGCAGGAGTCAATGGCAGATACAACCAGGTGCTCCTGGTGGCCAAGCCCAGCTCAGAGAGCCCAGAATCACTTGCCTGCCCCTTCCCGGAGCAGGAGCTGGAGTCTGTCACGGTGGAGGCTCTATTTGATTCAGGGGAAAAGCCCTCACTGGCCCCATCCTTAGTTGTGCTACAGGGGTCGGCTGGCACTGGAAAGACAACTCTCGCCAGAAAAATGGTGTTGGACTGGGCCACCGGTACTCTGTACCCAGGCCGGTTTGATTATGTCTTTTATGTAAGCTGCAAAGAAGTGGTCCTGCTGCTGGAGAGCAAACTGGAGCAGCTCCTTTTCTGGTGCTGCGGGGACAATCAAGCCCCTGTCACAGAGATTCTGAGGCAGCCAGAGCGGCTCCTGTTCATCCTGGATGGCTTTGATGAGCTGCAGAGGCCCTTTGAAGAAAAGTTGAAGAAGAGGGGTTTGAGTCCCAAGGAGAGCCTGCTGCACCTTCTAATTAGGAGACATACACTCCCCACGTGCTCCCTTCTCATCACCACCCGGCCCCTGGCTTTGAGGAATCTGGAGCCCTTGCTGAAACAAGCACGTCATG
This sequence comes from Homo sapiens, assembly GCF_000001405.40. Taxonomy (NCBI): domain Eukaryota; kingdom Metazoa; phylum Chordata; class Mammalia; order Primates; family Hominidae; genus Homo; species Homo sapiens. Next base: position 191,677 of record NW_011332695.1, on the reverse strand, counting down.
TCCATATCCTAGGCTTCTCTGAGGAGGAGAGGGCGAGGTACTTCAGCTCCTATTTCACGGATGAGAAGCAAGCTGACCGTGCCTTCGACATTGTACAGAAAAATGACATTCTCTACAAAGCGTGTCAGGTTCCAGGCATTTGCTGGGTGGTCTGCTCCTGGCTGCAGGGGCAGATGGAGAGAGGCAAAGTTGTCTTAGAGACACCTAGAAACAGCACTGACATCTTCATGGCTTACGTCTCCACCTTTCTGCCGCCCGATGATGATGGGGGCTGCTCCGAGCTTTCCCGGCACAGGGTCCTGAGGAGTCTGTGCTCCCTAGCAGCTGAAGGGATTCAGCACCAGAGGTTCCTATTTGAAGAAGCTGAGCTCAGGAAACATAATTTAGATGGCCCCAGGCTTGCCGCTTTCCTGAGTAGTAACGACTACCAATTGGGACTTGCCATCAAGAAGTTCTACAGCTTCCGCCACATCAGCTTCCAGGACTTTTTTCATGCCATGTCTTACCTGGTGAAAGAGGACCAAAGCCGGCTGGGGAAGGAGTCCCGCAGAGAAGTGCAAAGGCTGCTGGAGGTAAAGGAGCAGGAAGGGAATGATGAGATGACCCTCACTATGCAGTTTTTACTGGACATCTCGAAAAAAGACAGCTTCTCGAACTTGGAGCTCAAGTTCTGCTTCAGAATTTCTCCCTGTTTAGCGCAGGATCTGAAGCATTTTAAAGAACAGATGGAATCTATGAAGCACAACAGGACCTGGGATTTGGAATTCTCCCTGTATGAAGCTAAAATAAAGAATCTGGTAAAAGGTATTCAGATGAACAATGTATCATTCAAGATAAAACATTCAAATGAAAAGAAATCACAGAGCCAGAATTTATTTTCTGTCAAAAGCAGCTTGAGTCATGGACCTAAGGAGGAGCAAAAATGTCCTTCTGTCCATGGACAGAAGGAGGGCAAAGATAATATAGCAGGAACACAAAAGGAAGCTTCTACTGGAAAAGGCAGAGGGACAGAGGAAACACCAAAAAATACTTACATATAAACCTAATTAAATATGTACAAGATCTCTATGAGGAAAATGACAACACTCTGAGGAAAGAAATCAAAGAAGCTGTAAATGAATGGGAAGATTTTCCATGTTCATGAATAGAAAGACTCAATATTGTTAAGATGTTAGTTTTCCCCAGTTTGATCTGTAGATTCAATGCAATCCCAATCAAGATCCCAGCAAATAACTTTGTGGACATTGATAAGATGATTCTAATGTTTATGTGCAAAGGCAAAAGACTCAGAATAGCCAATAAAATATTGAAGAAGAACAAAGTTGGAGGAGTGCTGCTATCCAACTTCTTCCTACTATAAAGCTACAGTAATCAAGACAGTATGGTATTGTTAAAATAATAGAGAAATCAGTGGAGTAGAATAGAGAACCAGAAACAAACCTACACAAAAATGGTCAATTGATCTTAGACAAAGGAGCAAAAGCAATTTAATGGAGAAAGTTTACTCTTTTCAACAAATGGTGCTGAAATAACTGGACATCCACATGTAAAAAAATGAATCTAGATGTAAAATACAAAAGTACTAATATAAACTGCTAGAAGATAATATAGGAGAAAATCTAGGTGACCTTGGGTTTGGCGATGACTTTTTAGATATAACAGCAAAAGCATGAATCATTAAAAAAAGAATTAGTTGGCTTCATGAAAATTAAAAACTTATGCTCTGTGAAAGACACTGTTAAGAGAATGAAAAGATAAGCCAAAGACTGGGAGAAAATATTTGCAAACACATATCTGATAAAAGACTTGGGTAAAAAAAAATACAAATAGCTCTTAAAACTCAATAATAAGTAAAGAGTCTACTTAAAAAGTGAGTAGGAGGCCCAGGCTGGTGGATCACGAGGTCAAGAGACCGAGACCATCCTGGCCAATGTGGTGAAACCCCGTCTTTACTAAAAATACGAAAGTTAGCCGGGCGTGGTGGTGCACACCTGTAGTCCCAGCTACTCAGGAGGCTGAGGCAGGAGAATTGCTTGAATCTGGGAGGCGGAGGTTGCAGTGAGCTGAGATCGCACCACTGCACTCCAGCCTGGCAACAGAGTGAGACTCTGCCTCAAAAAAAAAAAGGTGAGTAAAAAGATTGGAACAGACAGCTTATTAAAGAAGATACACAGATGGCAAATAAATATTTGAAAAGACGCTCAACTTCATATGTCATTAGGGAATTGCAAACTAAAACCACAATAAGATACCATGACACCCCTGTTAGAATGGCTAACATCCCAAATCCTGGCAACACTAAATGCTTGTTAGGATGTGGAGTAGTGGGAGCCTTATTCATTGCTGGTCAGAATGCAAAATGGTACAGCCACTTTGAAAGACAGTTTGGCAGTTTCTTACAAAGCTAAACATAGTTTTACTATATGTAAGATCTAGCAATTATGCTCCTAGATATTAACCCAAGTGAGTTGGAAACTTATGTCCACATAAAAACCTGCACATGAATATTTATAGCAGCTTTATTCGTAATTGCCCAAATTTGGAAGCAACCAAGATGTCCTTCAATAGGTGATGGATAAGCAAACTGTGATACATCCACATAATGTAATAGTATTCAGTGATAAAAATAAATGAGCAATTAAGACATGAAAAGATATGGAGAAGCCTTAAATGCAACTACTAAGTGAAAGAAGTCAGTCTGAAAAGGCTACATACTGTGTAATTCCAAATATATGCTCTTATGAAAAATGAAAAACTATGGAGACAATTAAAAATCAGTGGTTGTCAGGGGTTCAAGGAGAGTCAGGGAGAGATAACCAGGTGGAGGCACAGGCACTTTAGGATAGTAAAACTATTCTGTGTGATATTATAATGATGGAGTCATGACATAAATTTTTCAAAACGCATAGAGCTGTACAATACAAAGAGTGAATCCTAATGTAAACTGTGCCTTGTAGTTAATAATAGTGTATCAAAATTGGTTCATCAATGATCACAAATGTGTCACACTAATGCAAGATGTTAATAAGAGAAACTTTGTGAGGGGGTGGTGGTGGTGGAGAGGGTATATAGGAACTTTCTGTATTTAAAAAAAGTTTTATTGAAGTATAATTAGTTTAATACAATAAACTGTGCATATTTAATATATAAAATTTGATGAATTTGTACATACACATACATCTGTGAAACCATCACTACAATCAAGGTAGAAGACATAACAATCCCCCCAAAAATGTTCCCGTGTCCTTTTATCTTTTTGTGTGTGTTAAAAACACAACACAAAATTTACCCTCTTATAAATTTTTAAGCACATAATACAGTATTGTTGACTATATGTGGGAATTCTGTACTTTCCACTCAATTTTTCTTTAAACCTAAAATTGCTCTTGAAAAACTAAGAAAATCTGAATTAAGTATGGACTTTAGTTAATAAAAATATGGTTAACTTTACTGATATATAGGATATTAAAAATATTCTGGGTTTTAGGTCATTTATCAGTTAATATGTGTTACACATATCTCTTCTTATTTTTTTGGCTTGTTTTTTCAGTCTCTTGATGCCTTTTGATAAATGAGTTCTTAATTTACTCATTTTTTCTTTTATGATTAATAACTTTATTTTCTGTTTAAGACATTTTCTATCCTGAGAATATAAAATAATCTCCTATATAAACTTCCAGAAAGTTTATTGCTTTACTTAACATATTTAGTCTGGTAAACCACTAGGAATTAATTTTGATGTATGATGTGAGATAGATAAAGTTTTATTTTTTCCCAGTAGTGATAATCAGGTGGTCTAATACTATTTATTCAAGAGATCAACCTTTCTCCACAATTCTGCAGTATCACCTTCATCATAAATCAAGTGTACATAAGTCTCTTCTGATCTCTCTATTCTTTTCCATTGATCTATTTGTAGATTCTCATGGCAAATACCATGCAGTTTTTATTATGGTAGCTTTGTAATAAGTCTTGCCACCTGGTAGTGGAAGAACAACAACTTTTCTTCTGGATTTTTGTGGCTATTTTATGTCCTTTGCATCTACACTTAAATATTAGAAGCAGTTTGTCAATTTATAAGAAAAACATTAGGATTTTTGGGTTTTGATTGAAATTGCATGCAATCTATAGATCAAATTTGGGAGGACTGACAATTTTATAATATTGATCCTTCTAATCCATGTACATTGGTTGTATATAGCTCTACTTTTTATATACATTTGATGTCTCACAGCAATATTTTGTAGTTCATATCTTTCGATGGTATTTAATACAATTCTAAGTGCGATACTTAAATTTTTATTTTCTAATTGTTTTTACAATTAGCTTTTTATCAAATTTTTTTAGTACATTGATCTTCTATATTGTCATTTCCCCAAATTTACTTATTTTTTAATAGCTTAAGAGCAGACTTTTTGGACCTTATATTGACACATTATGTTGTCTGCAAATAATGACAGTTTAATTTCTTCATTTCTAATCACTGTACCTTTAACTTATTTTTGGTGCAAATTGTGTTTATCTGTAGATTCTTGTCTTATTTCATTAGACTTTTCTTGAAAAAAATTTTTTTTTGAGACAGAGTTTCACTCTTGTCACCCAGGCTGGAGTGCAGTGGCATGATCTCGGCTCACTGCAACCTCTGCCTCACAGGTTTAAACAACTCTCCTGCCTCAGCCTCCCGAGTAGCTGGGATTACAGGCACCTGCCACCACGCCTGGCTAATTTTTGTATTTTTTAGGAGAGACGGGGTTTCACCATGTTGGTCAGGCTGGTCTTGAACTCCTGAATTCAGGTGATCCACCAGCCTTGGCCTCCCAAAGTGTTGGGATTACAGGTGTGAGCCACCACGCCCGGCCTTCTTGAATTTTAAAAAATAATTTTGCTGGGTGTGGTGGCACATACCTGTAATCCCAGCACTCTGGAGGCTAAAGTGGGAGGATTACCTGAGTTTAGGAGTTGGAGGACAGCCTGGGCAGCACAGCAAGAGCCTGTCTTTAAAAAATAAATGTGTATATACATATATAATTTTGTATTTCTTCTTCAAAGAGATCAGTTATATACATTGGATTTTCTTGGTTTGCTTTCCAAGTCTAAAACTTTTCTGTGGTCATTTAACCTTTTATTTTCTGTTTTATTTTTCTTTATTCTATTTTCTATTTGTCTCTATGTTTTGGCAAAGAGGAGTCATTACTAAAATGGTGTCCCTATTAGAACCATTAAAGAGGAGTATGCAGGAAACGTAGGTAGGACATCTGTGTCAACCTGTGCATTGGTCACCAGTCTCTGAGCTGTGTGTTTGTATTGCCCCTGTATTTGTGTACTTTAACAACTGTGTAAATAATAACTTCATAATGACTTCTAAAAAGAAGTATGTTCTCCTCTTTAATGGTTCTGATAGGGACACCATTGTAGTAAAAATTTCATTTATTATTCAATATCCTTTATGAACTCTGGTAGCTAGTATTTTATAACTTTCATTTTTTAACTATATATTTCCTTAATGCTTATATTTGTGCTTTGTACTCTTGTTTTAGAGGAGCAGTTTCTTCATAGGTATTTAAAATTATTGGCTTTTCTTTTTTGGCCACAATTTTTACTGGCTTCATAGTAACATTTTTATAGTCACTGTTCTTAATATGCTATTTCCTCCCTGAAACTTTTTTTTCTTACAGTCTCTGCTTCAATATCATGCTGTTTCTCTTTTGATTATTTCTCACATTTGAACAAGTTAGGTTCTTTCTGTACCTTTTTTTGCGAAAAGGTTTTTTGGAGGAAGGGCTAGGGTCATTCAAGCCAACAGGGATTCTCTTGGTTAACACTGAAGTTCTTTAGACGTTTGCTACTCAATATGTGGTTTGTGGCCCAGCCACACTGGCATCATCTGGAGGCTTGCTAAAAATGCAGAATCTCAAGGCCCACTCCAGATCTACTGAATTTGAATCTTCATTTTCAAAAGATCCTCTAGTGATTCATAGGCTCATTGAAGTGTGAGAAGAAAGAGGGGCTTTCTTTTTTGTCCTTAACAATTCTTTTTTTTTTTTTTTTTTTTTGAGACGGAATCTTGCTCTGTTGCCCAGGCTGGAGTGCAGTGGCGCGATCTCGGCTCACTGCAAGCTCCACCTCCCGGGTTCACGCCATTCTCCTGCCCCAGCCTCCCGAGTAGCTGGGACTACAGGCGCCCACCACAGTGCCCAGCTAATTTTTTGTATTTTTAGTAGAGACGGGGTTTCACCGTGTTAGCCAGGATGGTCTTGATCTCCCGACCTCATGATCTGCCTGCCTCAGCCTCCCAAAGTGCTGGGATTACAGGCGTGAGCCACCGCGCCCAGCCAACAATTCTTAATCTTAAGTGAGTGCTATGACTTTCAGTGTCAGGAGTAAGGCCTTTTCAGTGATTTTACTTCTCTCCTAGCAACAGATTTCTTTTGCTTATTATTTGGTGTTTCTTAGACTGATTGGGGGTGGGAAAAAGAGCTTTTTTGGTCGTTCTTATGCATATTAGTCTTAGGCAGGTGCTGTGACCCTGAGTCTCAGGAGTAGTGGTTGCCTTGACCCTGCCCTAAGAATAGGAGACATCTAATAGTATTGGTATGTGATCCTGGGCCCAGAACTTTTTCCTGCCCCATTCTAAGGGATAGAAGATATTTTTTCTTTTACCCTTCCTCAGACTGCAATGTATCTTTACTTGTGCCCTGGGGTGACAGTTAGATATATTAATACATATAAATTATGTTATATATATATTATTATATATAATAAAGTGCATATATTTTAATAATGTAAAAAAATTAAATTATGGTATAAACACAAAATTTACAATCTTAATCACTTAAGTGTACAGTTCAGTAGTGTTAAGTATATTTGTATTTTAATTATTTTTAATTTGAAATTATTGTAGAATTATAGAAAAGTTTCAAAAATACTACAGAGAGATCCTGGTACAATATCACATGCCTGTAGTCCCAGTTACCCAGGAGGCTGAAGTGGGAGTATGTCTTGAGCCCAGGTATTTGAGTCCAACCTGGACAACATAGTGAGATCCCATCTTTAAAAAACAAAAAACAAAAACAAAAAGCTATAAAGAAGTTCCTGTTCCTGTATATTCTTCACCCAGATTCTACTTATGTTAACATCATACATAAACATAGTACAGTTATTAAAACTAAGCAATTAGCACTGGTTTAATGCTATTAGCTTAACTACAGACATTATTTGGATTTCACCAGTTTTTACACTAATGTTCCTTTTATGTTCTAGAATCTAATCCAGGATCCCACTTTGCATTTAGCTGTCATGTCTTCTTAGTCTCCAATCTCTGACAGACATTCCTTTTATCTTTCCTTTTCTCCCTACATGACCTTCACTCCTTTGAAAAGTACTGGTCAGGTAAACTGCAGAATGCTCCTCAATTTGGATTTGTCTGATGTTTTGAAGTTACACATTTTTGAGAAAAATGCTACAGAGATGATGTGTCCTTCTTAGTGCATCATATTAGGAGGTACACGATGTTAATATGTGTTATCATTGGAAATGTTAACTTTGGTCACTTTGTTAAAGTGGGGTCTGCCAGGCTTCTCCACTGTGAAGCTACTATTTTCCCTTTGTAAGTAATACATATTTTGGGGGAGACACTTTGAGACTATGTAAATGTCCTGATTTTCCTTAAAATTTCTCCCATGAATTTTGGCACCTATTTGTGGGTCTTGATTACAGCTATTATTATTTGGCTAGAATGGTGGCTTTCCTATCTTCCTCATTCCTTCTACATTTAGAAGAAATTAATTATAACTTTCTTTTAAGGAATTCCCCCCATGTAAACTTTTTTCAAGTATGATATTCATTGGGAAAGTGTAGAAATCATGAGGGAGCAGTGCGATGACTTTCACAAAGTGTGTATTGCTGGTGTCACCATCGCTGAGATCAAGAAACAGAACACACTGGAATTCTGGAACCCTCCTCATGCCCTCTACCAGTCACTACCTTGTCTCATTCCAAAGGTCACCACTATCTGGATTCTAATCTCATAGATGACTTTTGTCTGTTTTTAAAACTTATATAAGTGGAAATATATGATACGTATTCTTTCGAGTTAGCTTTCTCTACTCTCCATTATGTTTTTGAGATTTACTTTTATTATTGCAGTGGTTCATTAATATTTCTTTGTATAATATTCTATCGTTTTGCTAAACTACAATTTGCCCATTTACTGTTGATGAACATTTGAATTATTTCCAGTTTTTGGCTATTAAGTATAATGCTCTGAACTTTCTTGTGCATGTCTGTTGGTAAATATATGTATGAATTTCTGTTGGATATATGCAGGAGTGAAACTGCTGAATCGTAGGCCATGTGTACTTTCATCTTTAGATGACGTTGCCAAATAGATATCCAAAGTGAATGTAATAATTTGCACTGCCATCAGAAATGTATGAGACAAGTGGCCAACAAACATGAAAAAATGCTCAATATCACTAATCATCAGAGAAATGGTAAATCAAAACCACAATGAGATATCATTTCATACCAGCCAGAATGGCTATTACTAAAGAGTTAAAACACAACAGATGCTGGCAAGGCTGTAGCGAAAACGGAACACTTATATACTGTTGGTGAGAATGTAAATTGGTTCAGCCCCAGTGGAAAGCAGTTTATAGATTTCTCAAAGAAATAAAAATGAACTACCATTCCACCCAGAAATCTCATTTCTGGGTATGTACCCGAAGGACAATAAATCGTTCTACCAAAAAGACACCTGCACTCATATGTTTATTGCAGCACTATTCCAATAGCAAAGACTTGGAAACAACCTAGGTACCCATCAGTGGTGCATTGATAAAGAAAATGTGGTACATATACACCATGGAATACTACACAGCCATAAAAAGAATAAAATCATGTCTTTGGCAGCAAAATGAATGCAGCTGGAGGCCATTATCCTAAGCAAATTAATGCAGAAACAGAAAACCAAATATTGCATGTTCTCACTTATAAGTGGGAGTTAAACCCTGGATGCACACGGACACAAAGATGGGAATAACACACACTGGGACTCCAAAAAGATGAAAGGAGAGATGGGGGCAATGGCTGAAAAACTTCCTGTAGGGTACTATGCTCACTATCTGGGTGACAGAATCAATAGAAGCTGAAACTTCAGCATCACGCAATATACTCTTATAACAAATTTGCATGCATTTCCCTTGAATCTACAATAAAAATTAAAATGAAAAAAGAAATGTATGAGAGTTCTATTTGTTCCACATCTTTGCTAAAAGATGGTAAGATAAGTGTCTAGGGAACACACTCTGCTTCCACTACCCCAGTTTGCATCACTCTAGTATATATTTGAGGTGGGAAGAAGAAGAATTTGAATAAGTTATAAGGTTGTATTTTTTCTTTTTTTTTTTTGTATTTGAGATGGAGTCTTGCACTGTCACCCAGGCTGCAGTGCAGTGGCGCAATCTCATCTCTCTGCAAGCTCCACCTCCCAGGTTCACACCATTCTCCTGCCTCAGCCTCCCGAGTAGCTGGGATTACAGGCACCCACCACCATGCCCAGCTAATTTTTTTTCTATTTTGAGTAGAGACAAGGTTTCACCGTGTTAGCCAGGATGGTCTTGATCTCCTGACCTCGTGATCCGCCCGCCTCCACCTCCCAAAGTGCTGGGATTACAGGTGTGAGCCACCTCGCCCAGCCAAGTTTGGATTTTTAAAGAGATTAAACTCTTAATAGTAGAATGAAACTAGTTTAACAACTAACTAGCTGAAAACATACATAAGTCTGCCCAAAATGTCATCAAGAGAAATGCTATGCAATGGAAAAAGGATTTTTTTCGTGATCTAATTGGTAATAGTTATTGGAAGAAACAAAAACACCTCATGCTCCAATGAGTTAGAATTTCTTGGTAAAAATTGCATGTAGTTGTTGAGTCTTCTAGCCTTTAAGTCTTGCATTTTTTTCTAATAATTTCTTTGTCTTTCTGTGTTGCATTTTGGGGATACAAACTTAATTTTTGCTATTGTGGCTGTAATGAAATTAATGGTCCCTATTGTGAAATCTCACCAATGCTAGAGCTTATATACATGAAATCTGCATTTATGAACATCATCCTAAATCTTATGATTTTTTTCTTGCTAAAATTCTTGTCATATATTTGTCTTTTATGGGTACAACCAATATCATTTATTACAAGTGAAATCTGGCTGCTCCTTAGGAAATAAGAAACTTAAATCTCTGGCCTGCTTTCTGCTCATCTCTCTGCTAATCTGTTGAACTACAGCTTGAGATCTAAAGGGTACTTAGGAAACTGGAGAAGAAAGTGGTTTTACACACACTGTGGTGTTATTTGGTTGTAGGCCATTGCACACAATTTGAATTTGTAAAGATAGAAGGACTGTGTATTTTGGCAATACCATAGATCAAAGATATTTCTCCAGGTTAGTTCATTTGGTCTAATTCATCCTTTTAAGTCACTGCATAATATTGGGTATCGCACTATTTATACAATAACACAGTATTTGTTGGCTATCAGTTTCAATTTTTTTGCCAAAACAAACTATGATGCAATAAACAGCTGTATGCATATATATCCCAAGGGGGAGAGCTGGATCAAGGAGTAAATGTACTTTTAATTTTAACAGATATAGTATTGCTACATTGCTTTCTGAAAAGTTTCTACTTTAGATAAGCCTGAAGATATACTCAATGCCACCATCTTGGGAAAGCACCCAGATACCACTAAATAGAGACAGGATTTTCATTTCTGTAGCTAAAAACTTATCTGTGAATGACTTGGGAAAGTTGGTTCAAACTTGGGAGGGTCCAACTGGGAACCATCAGATTCTAAACTCCAAATGGGAATACACTTAGCCATTTAAGGGAATAATTCAATTTGCTTCGTGTAACCTGAGAATATGTTAAAAAAAATTTTATGGGACATCTTTTTGTTGTCTATACACTGGATGCTCACTGGAGATCCGTTTTCACATGAAGCTAAGTCACATAGACTCAAATTAATTCAAATCAATTAATTATGCTTTTCGTTGTTCATTTATATCTCTGTTCAATTAATAAATCTACTATCTAATTACCTTCCAGCAACACTGATAGTCACAGGAGCTTCAAAACTGAAAAACCCCTGCCCTTGAGGGACTCACAGTCTGTTGTAATCACAGGGTCTAAATGGCCACTGAATCCAAACTTTTACATGTATCTACTTTTACATGTATCTAAGACCAGGCTGATAAAAATAAGTTTGAGCTGTCAACATATGTTTGACTATGGAATGATTTAACAGGTGTATTGATCCATTCAGTCTTTTAGCCAGTCCCAATGGAATGAATTTATGACTTTGCCAGATTGCATGGGCAGGTGGATAGTGTTCTTGACCAGATTGGCTCTAATCACACCTTTGCTCATTAGACCCACTTTTTGTTGAAACAGCTCGAAGTCAATCTTCCCTCATTTTGAAGATGACATTATCATTTCCATAGGAGTAGGGATAATTATGAGACATTTATTTCATTCCAAATCTATTCATTTTAACACCTAGCACAATAAAAAAGTAGTAATTTTGAAACAAAACTCTGACAGTTTTATCTGTGGAAAATATTTAAAAACCCATTATAATTGGGGAAAAAATCCTAATGAACCTACCAGGCTTGCATGCACACCTCTCCTAATCATCTCTGCCACTCTCTCCTTCACTCTTTGCTCTTTGGTTTTTGTAATGCATTAAGCCCTTTCTTCTTCATGTTATTTTATCTCCCTTGTTCTCTTTCTTTTGTTATTACCATAATGAACAGAAAAATGAAATAGAATAGCATCCTAGAAGTGGGTATGAGCCTAAAGAGTGTTAATGTAATTCCTCTGCTTTTGTAGACAAGGTAACTGAGGCACAGGAACTTCAGCTGTGCTTCAAGATACTATCTTTGGTGAGAGAGGTGCTTCTGGGGTTTCAGTGGTTATGTTTAAAGCAAAGGTGCAGAGTCCCACAACCCCCATGCAGGGTCTTCAGTGCCTGCTGGTGTTGTCAGGATCCAAACATTCATATTTTTAAACTATTGTTTAAATAGTTTAAATAGTAGATTAGGTTCTGCAGGAAATGCTGCGATAGAGATTAGTGTGCAATGGGATCAACATCTGTGGAAGGGAAGGAAAGAAGGGCAGGATTTAGCGAAGAAAGAAGTTGAGTTTTGAGGCAGACTTCCTGAAGGCTTCAATGGACTGAAGGCGGGGATGACCCTTCAGAGATGTCCTGACCGTCACAGTGGGGGCCAAGCCCTTATTCTCTGACATTGATCAGTTAGTAGGTACAGATGCCCCAGGTGAAGCAGTCCTTTTAGGGGCTGACAGCTCAGGCCTTTCTGGCACTCGCAAAATCTTCATTCCTGAAGATTCTTCATTCTTGAAGGTAGATCTGGACAGCTTATCCCATAGGTCACCAAACTGAGGCTTTCTTAGAAACTCTATGTCCCCAGGGATGTTAGAGAGATGACCTCTCCTTTACAAATTGATTTTCCTGCTGTTTGAAGGCAGTCCCCTCTCTTAAGACTCTGCCATTAAGCCTCCTTAAGATGAGGACACAGACTGTGCTCAGAATCTCAGTCTTACTGCCCTGGCCCTATTCCCATCTTCCCACATCTTCTGCCTCCTCACTATTCTCAATTTTCAAAGCTTTAGCCTTCTGTTTTCTTTTTCAGGACTACTTTCTCCCCCAAAGTCTCCTCTGTCCTTCAAATAAATTGTTTCTGAATTTATCAGCTCTAGCAGCTGTCAGTGATTCCCAGACTGGTCTGAATACAAAGGTGAACCAAGCTTAGAACCATCAAAATGTACCCCTTTACTCTGCCTTCTCTCCTGTCACCACAGATGAGATCTTTGCACTTCTGTTTAAGACAGAAGCCCAGATCTTATCCCTTTATACCTACTCAATCTATTCCCTTCCTTTCTTTTTGTTATCTTCCAGCTTTATTGTGGTATAATTGATGAATAAAAATTGTGAGAGTAGTATATCCTGCTGCCTACTGGACTTTTCTACTTGGTTGACCCCAAACTCACGTGTTTCAGATTGAACTCATCATCCAATCCTCTATTTTGTCTTTTAAGTTTTGCTCAGTTGCTTATGCCAAAACTTAGTTGTCACTCTTGCCTTGTTCTCATCTCCCAGATTTCCATCAATCACCAATCCAATTGCCTATACCACTTAATTTTTCCGAAGCTTACCCACTGTTCACCTGGTTAACTTTAGCAGCCTCCTCAAATCCATTCTCCCTGCTGCTTCCACAGTCAAGTTCCTGAAAGGCAAATCTGAGGAAAGAATGAAAGAAACTCTGCCCTAGGCATGAAGTTTTGCAAGACCAGGCTGATACTTAGAGATTACTGGGGATTGGTTCTCTGGGGAGAGGCCCCTTAGGGTCCCTATGGTTTTAGGGATGCTACCTTAGAGACTGTCAATTGTGATGTTCCTGGAGGATTTTATAACAGAAATTTACATTTTTCTTGGCAGTGATAGATATATTTATATTTCTATGCAAAAGAAAAGAGGTCCTCTTTCAGAGAATGTAAAGTATAAGCTTCTTTCTTTACCCTGGGGGACAGCAAATATTTAAAGGACATGTATAACTGTTGAGACTTTCATGTCTAAAATGTTAACTGTTTATGTATCATACCACTCCTGTCTGACCCTTACCATCCTGCTCTCCAAAGTATACATCATATTACAGTGTCCAAAGGGAATCCTGAGAGGCAAGAGCACTGGGTATGCCTCTTCCTGGTAGAGTGCTTCTTCATCAATTGCTATTTTTAAAAAAATTATATATATTTGGATTTTGATGACAGCAAGATAGCCCTCTAAAAGTCCATAGTGCTCGTCCTACCCATCCCCCACAAAGATAGCCAAAACAACAAATAAACCACTATAAACCACTACATTTTGATAAAAATAACTAAAGGAGAGCACCAAAGTTTATCAAGGGAGCCACAGAAACCCTGGGTGGGCAGAGAAACTCAGGACAGCCACACAGAGAATGGAAGGAAGCACCTGGGCCCCATCACCCCATTTGCCAGCTGGGATCAGCTTGGAACCAGTAAGGACTTCTCCTTGCAGGGAAAAGGCAAGCAAGGTCACCTCAGCAGGCCCCATCAACACCTCGGACACCTATAGTCCTCAGTGTTATGGACTCTTGTAGTCCTCACAGGCACTAAGCCCAGCTAAGAGAGCTGCCTGGAGTCCATAGCTATACCTGTGCTCCCCTCTGTCACCAGTGGAGTTGACACTGTGCCCTGTGTCCCAGCCCCTGTCTCAGCCCCTGACTGTGGCCCATGCAGCTATGCATTACAATGCTGTCTTGAACCTGGGAATACTGCTGGAGTGTGTTTTGCTTTGGGGGTGAGTGACCACAGCACCCATTCACCCCTGAGGCTCCAAACTACCCCTACCCAGTGGCCCAACATCTGTAACCAGTGAGCAGCTGTACCTACCCTTCCCATTTGCTGCTGTACCTCACCCCTTCAGGCTGGAGCTGAAGCTGCATACTCCCTCCCACAGAAACAGTGCTTTGGCAGACCTGCCCATCTACCCTTTCCAGTTGTTGCTGCACCTTCCCCCTAGGAGCCTGAGTTAAAGCTGCTCATCCACTCCTGAGGAAATGTTGCCTCTACAGAGCTGCTCCAAAAACCTCTCCAGCTGCTGTCACGCTCTGCTCCACAGGACTTGAGCTGAAGCTATGTACTACCTCCCAGGGAAACAGTGCTTTGGTGAAGTCGTTCCATATACCCTTCCCAGTTGCTGCTGTGTTCTGCCCCTCTGTGTGTGAGCTGAACCAGTATCCTGCTTCCTGGAAAAACAGTACCTTGGCTGCTCAGAGCAGTCATGCCTCCCTGGAGCCTAAGCAGAAGCATGCCCTGCATCCTGGGGAAATGGTGCCTGGGCCACCCAGAGTGGTCATGCCCCCAGTCCTTAGCTGAAGTGACACATTGCCCCTGGGGAATTGGTGCCTAGGCTGAGTAGCTGTACATATCAAGGCTTAGCTATATTAGTACCCTGCATCCCAGGGAAACAGAGCAGTGCCTGAGCTTAGACACCATGCTCTGGAGGCCAAACAACTCAAGTACCCTACTCTCCTGGAGCTGGACTAGCCCCCTAGGGCATGAGCTGCTGAGACACCCCTCATTCCCAGGAAGTAGAGTCATCACTGTGCTGCTCCCTGTCCCCCAGGGCCCAAACAACAGCTGTGATCCACCATTCTGGAGTCTGCACTGTCACTACACCTGCCTCACAGAGTCTGGGATACTCCCACCTTCCCAAGGTCTAGAGTTACCACAGCATGATTTCTCATCCCCTGGGACCTGAGTTGCCACTGAACTTTATTGGTTCTGGTTCCCAAATTGCAGCTGTACCATGCTGCCTGGGCCCAAACCTCTGAAGCACCCCTTCTTCCCCAGAGCTAAGCCAGTGTTATGTCCTAATCTCCAGGGTCAGAGTCATAGATACAACCTGACTTTCTAGGCCTCAGCTGCTAGGGGATGCCTCAGAGTCACAGATACTGTTGGCAGTCTATATCCAACCCCACTACAGAGGGTGAACCTGCACATTAAGACCCAAGCTGGTCACACAATAGGTTCCTGAGACCCTGAGCTTAGTACTCCAGCTCCACAGATGCTCTGAGCACATGCACCTGGAACCTAGCACTGCTGCAGCTGCGTGTAGGCCATGTCAGATCTGACACCAAGAGGAGACACCTCAGCTACCTCTCCCCATTATGGGAAAAATGAGAAAAGGAGGACCTCCAAAGCCCTTGTTACTGAGCACCTTAACAACCCATGCCACCATTGCCACTGCCACAAGCTTCTACAGGCCACAACACTGAGGCACCCACAGTTATTGCTGATGTTGATTGCAGTTGAAGAAATTGCACAGAGACTATACTACTACATCTACTCAGAACCAGAGTCACTACACCTTTCTCAATAGCCACACAAAGACACAACTGCAGGTGAAATTCCTTTTCTATGAAAGCCCCTCTATAAAGTTTGGAAGATGCAATTTTTCCACCAGATGCAGAGACATAAATGCAGAGACACAAAAGACATGAAAAATAAAGAAATACGACACCACCAAAGGAACACAATAACTCTTTAATAACAGATCTCACAGGAAAAAAGATCTATGAGTTGCCAGAAAAGGAATTCAAAATAACGATCCTAAGGAAACTCAGTAAAATACAAGAGAATACGTATAGAAGATTCAACAAAATCAAGAAAACAATTCATGATATGAATGAGAAATTTAACACAGTGACAGATATCATAAAAAGAAACCAAACAGAAATCCTGCAGCTGAAGAATTCAATGAATGAAATAAAAAATACAACAGAGAGCTTCAATAGCCAGACCAGATCAAGCAGAAGAATGAATATCTGAACTTGAAGATCAGTTGTTTGAAATTAGCCAGTGAGTGAAAATAAAAATAAAATAAGTAAAATAGAATGAAAAAGGCCTATAGGACTTATGGGACACCATTAAGCAAACAGATATTTGTATCATGAGAGTTCTGGAAGAGATGGGAAAAGGCATAGAAAACCTATCAAACAAAATAATAGTTAAAAACTTTCAGAGTCTTGGGAGAGATATGAAGACCCAGATCCAGTAAGCTCAAAGTCCCCAAACATATTTAACCCCAAAAGATCCTTCCTGAGGCACATTATAGTCAAACTGTTAAAAGTCAAAGATAAAAAGAGAATTCTAAAAACATCAAGAGAAAAGCATCAAGTCACATATAAGGGAGTCCTCTTTAGACTTACAGCAGGTTTCTCTGCAGAAATTCTATAAGCAAAGAGACAGTCATATTTTCAAAGTGCTGAAAGAAAATAATTGGTGGCCAAGAATACTATACCAAGAAAAGCTATCCTTCAGAATGGAAGGAGAAATAAAGTTTTTCCCGACAAGCAAAAACTGAGGGAATTCATCACCACTAGACTGACCTTTCAAGAAATTCTCAAGGGAGCCCTACATACAATGATAGGTCCAACAATACCACCATCGTAACACCCTCCCCCACCCCCCAAAAATTGTTGCTGTTCCCATTGCCTGCTGATGGCACTTACTCTGTTGCTTTGCATCTTAGGTAACAGACTCACAGGAAAGAAGATAATTTCTGTATATCACACTTCCCATTTCCCACTTCAAGGGTTTCAATGGATTTTTCTTTTTTTTTGCATGACTCAGGGGACTGGGACATCTGTATAGGCTCATAACAATGCCTTTACAGTCAGGTTTTCAGCTTGTTCAACGAAGGGATTGTCAATTCTGAGAAGACTTCTTCATTAATAGAGTGTGTGACTATTTGCTCCTTGACTTATTTTACGAGGGTAAGTATATCCCTTTTCCCCTCACTCTTGGACTCAGGAACCAGTTCCAAAGGTGTGCAAAGCCCTTGAAGTGATTTATTTATGGACTTCCCTGTCCATGTTTCTATTTATTCATCCTCTCTTCCACAAACATTTGAAATCCTGTCTTCTTTATGTAACACATTCATATCCAGGACTATATATTACTATTTATCCTCTACAGTATACATGATTTTTCTCCATTCATTACATCCTAGTTCTACTTCTGTCCAGTCCATCTTGCAAAAATAAATAATGCAACATTATTGTTTCTCAGCTTTCATCTCACTTCCTTGTATTCATATAATAATTTAAAGGATACCATGCTTTATGTATAGAGCATTTGTGTGTTGAATCACCATCATTCTTTGACCTCCTTCTCCTATAAACAGTACCTTGGGGATTTTTAAAAAATTAAACATTTTCAGGTATGCATAGTTAGAATTGATGCTGTACCTGGTTATAGGATAGAATGCCATGAAATTTGCATATTAGGTAGCATTTCTCATCTCATTCACAGTCACAGTGTCTGGTTTATAGGTGGATAGTCATGTAATCCCACCATAGTAAATGATACAGGAGGGGTTCTTGGATTAGTTTTTACAAATAAAAACCCTTTATCCTCAGGATAACTGGTACATTGCCCACTGGATACAGAGAGGATCTATCCCTAAGTGTTGTTAGCAGCCTTATTGACACTAAAGGGAAAATATTCATTGAGAATAGAACCTACTCTAGGAAAGCAGAGATGAGAAATAGAGAAAAAAAGAAATCCAGGTCCTGGAAACATTATCTGAGTTCTGGATAAAGCCAAGCCTACAGATTTATTCATCCCTATACTTTGCTGGAACTGAGCTAATAGTCTTATTGATTGCTCAAATCAGTGTGAACTTAACTCTGAGTCCTCTGATTGTTACATATACTTTGTGAAGTTAATAACATTATCTTGATTTTATCAAAAAAGTAATAGAGCCAGAGAAGAGACATGATGCTCAAAGTCATATTAGTTCAGATGTTTTGACTTCAAGTTAAAAAGTTTCGACTATAAAATTATCTAAAAGACTTTCCCCCAAAATTTAGTATTTCCATATTACTACTAGAAAATATAAGTTTTGGTATCTCCAGGCTTTCCACAAAGTAACTTCAATTTACTTGCCATAACACATT
The DNA here is from genome assembly GCF_000001405.40 of Homo sapiens. Taxonomy (NCBI): domain Eukaryota; kingdom Metazoa; phylum Chordata; class Mammalia; order Primates; family Hominidae; genus Homo; species Homo sapiens. The sequence goes on along the minus strand of NW_011332695.1, from coordinate 173,122 downwards.
TCCTACCATTGCACAAACTGTCTATCTTGTCCAATCAGATCCTCTGTCCAAATCACTCTGCCTTTACTCACGCTCACATTCTTTTCTCCCTTCTGCATTTGTGCCTATTTATTAACATTCATTCAGTCTCTGCTTTCATTTCTTAATGGGAAAGGTCTTGGTGGAATTGGGTCTCTCATGTGAAGAGGTGTTAATTCCCTATGGAAACCTGGAAGAGTCGTATTCCAAGTTTGTGCAGCGGAGATTCCTTGCCCCCATACAGGAAAGTCTGTATAAATTGTGTGTCAGTTCTCCAGAGAAGATTTCTCTCAGGGCATAAAATTTAATGCAGTATAATTTAAAATCAATGCATTGAATCACTAAGTTGTATTTAGGAAGTGCTTTTTAATTGAAGAGGTAAAACATAAATGGGATGAAAATCAGGGACAGTGAATAGATAAGGATCTGAAGATTCTGCTTTGGTACTTGTTGGTGGGTTTGCCTTCTGTAGTTATCCTCACTGATAATTGGAGATACTTATCAAGTGATAACTCAATGCTCAGGTAAGAAAGTCAATTGCTGTGCCCTTCATATTCACATAAAAGTTCGACAGTAATTAGATCTATAGACGGTTTGCTTGCACAAACCATCAATTCTTAGAGGTATGTAGTTGAGGGAGCGGGGTGAAAGCGGTCAGAAATAAGTCCAATTGGTTAGAAAGATGAAACCCTGATGAGGGAGTTATTTGCCCAAGATTATACAGAAAGTTAATGCCAGAGCCAGTAGAACATATCAGTGAATTAGCTAAATCAGCATTATGTTGTTTTATGTTAAAGGGAAAAGATGGAGCATTTAAGTTCAGCTTAAAAAAATTACTCATGAAGGCAGTAATTTAGATTTGTTTTGTAACTTTGCTTTATCAGCTCCTTAAAAGTTGCCCATTTTTAGTAGGATACTCTAAATTTTCTCATTTTACAAACGTATTTGGTTTTATAGGCCTGGAGCTGAAAATGTAGTTTTGTCTATTAAAATGATACTTAGGCATTTTTTTTTCCTGCCAAGTCTATTTTAGGAGATTTTTTACATCCAAAAAATTTTGTTATAGTTAAAACATATATTTGGTTTTTAATATCACTATGGTCAGACTCAATAAATCAATTGCCTTTTCCTCTCTGCTAATGTCCTAATGATATGAAATCAAGATGTCTTCAGCTTGCTGTGTCCTCTCCTCCTGGCTTCCTCTTGTCCCACAGTAAAATTCTGCTGGTTTTTGAAGCATCACACAAAGTCCAGTTTGGAGGTCCATGCTAGTACTAAGGTGTCATTGAATACCTTCTATCTGAGCAAGGCAGCCTTCCTCCTTATGCTTTTTCTCCTCTGCTTAATGGACCTTCCACCCTTGTCATCTTGTGATTATGGTTTCCCACCCTCACTGTCCATTCAGAAGTAATGTTTCCCTCATTTACATTCCTAAAGCAATTGTTATCACTCTAGTTCCCCTTAAATGCCAGCCTGAGAAGTGGGCATTGTATTTTACTGATAAGGGGAGACTCTGAAGTTTCTCGGAGGGAGGGTGATATTATTTTGTCAGAAATTTGAGGTACAGATTGGAGGAACGGGTATAAAACATGGAATAGCCAGTTAGGTTTCCGTTTAAAGGTAGAGGAGGTGAAGGGAGAGGAAAAGAGGCAGTGAGGTGGAGCGTGTCAGCGGGGATGGACTCGTGAGGCCAGGAGGACTCCAGATTTTAAAGACTTGTGGGCCCTGACAGTGAAGGGAATACTGGGAGACAAGGATTGTTGCTCTGGTTGAGAGCAGAGAGAATGAAGTCGCTTTGCCCTGAGAGTGGCTCTGGAGGGGCAGTTGGATTGGGAAGAAAATGGTCATCTCCGCATGGGACTGGCAGGCCCAAAGTGACTCAGGCAGCATGTGTGCTGCCTATGTGCCCACCCACCACTACTCCATGTTCCCTTCAGCCCAGCTCCCATCTGATTGGAGTTGAGGCCTTGCAGCCTGCAGTTTTCTATCAACAAATTAGAGAAACACCTATGTCAGAGCCAGAAGGGATCATTCTGCTGCTTCTAACCCATACAGATGGGGAACCCAAGTGCAGCAGAGGCAGAGACCCATCTTGGAGACAGTGGCAGAGTTAGGACTGCAGCCAAGTTCCAGACTAGCTCGCAATCCAGGCGTAACCAAAACTCAGGTTCAGTTGCTCTTTGCTTGAAGAATCCAACTAAGGGAAGAGGTATAGGCTCCTGCCTTTAAGGACACTGCTTCACTTTTTGGAAAGAAAGCAGAGGCTTTTAAAGGGGAACTTGGCATTAAGAGAGGAGAGAGAGAGCAACCTACAAAACAAAGATGTTGCCAGATAACATTTACTGTTATTTTGTACTTTAAAAACAAGATTTCTGAACCAAAATACTTCACTTCTTTATTTGTATTTTAAAGATTCACTATTACAAGTCATTGGCCATTCTTCAAAAGTGCCAACCTGAAGTTCTGTCAAAATGAGCTTGTCATTACATCTGCTGTCAAGAATTCCAGACTTGAACTCACAGCTATGGGATTACGACTTCATACTCGATATACCAGGTCCATAAAAACAATATAAGTTTCAACTACTGAAATGAAAAGACAAAATCAAAGCTGTGTGGTTGAATTCATCCTCCTGGGCTTTTCTAACTTTCCTGAGCTCCAGGTGCAGCTCTTTGGGGTTTTCCTAGTTATTTATGTGGTGACCCTGATGGGAAATGCCATCATTACAGTCATCATCTCCTTAAACCAGAGCCTCCACGTTCCCATGTACCTGTTCCTCCTGAACCTATCTGTGGTGGAGGTGAGTTTCAGTGCAGTCATTACGCCTGAAATGCTGGTGGTGCTCTCTACTGAGAAAACTATGATTTCTTTTGTGGGCTGTTTTGCACAGATGTATTTCATCCTTCTTTTTGGTGGGACTGAATGTTTTCTCCTGGGAGCGATGGCTTATGACCGATTTGCTGCAATTTGCCATCCTCTGAACTACCCAGTGATTATGAACAGAGGGGTTTTTATGAAATTAGTAATATTCTCATGGATCTCAGGGATCATGGTGGCTACTGTGCAGACCACTTGGGTATTTAGTTTTCCATTTTGTGGCCCCAATGAAATTAATCATCTCTTCTGTGAGACTCCCCCGGTACTAGAGCTTGTGTGTGCAGACACCTTCTTATTTGAAATCTATGCCTTCACAGGCACCATTTTGATTGTTATGGTTCCTTTCTTGTTGATCCTCTTGTCTTACATTCGAGTTCTGTTTGCCATCCTGAAGATGCCATCAACTACTGGGAGACAAAAGGCCTTTTCCACCTGTGCCTCTCACCTCACATCTGTGACCCTGTTCTATGGCACAGCCAATATGACTTATTTACAACCCAAATCTGGCTACTCACCCGAAACCAAGAAACTGATCTCATTGGCTTACACGTTGCTTACCCCTCTGCTCAATCCGCTCATCTATAGCTTACGAAACAGTGAGATGAAGAGGACTTTGATAAAACTATGGCGAAGAAAAGTGATTTTACACACATTCTGATTGTGTTGAGAAGCTGAGTAAGATTTGGCCACTGCCTGAGTGAACTCTATTTAAATTTAATAAAGGGTGAAAACAGACTGCATTTTTTGTATGACTATGTAAGTTTGTTGAGTTTTTTTATTGGAAAACGTATCTCAATAAAGAACTGCTGTCACTTGTTTTTAGTAGATACATATGTTCTCATAACATGACACAACAGTTTATTCATCCATTTCTCTATTATGAACATCCAAGTAGCTACTGGATTACTGTCATTTTTTTTTTTTTTTTTTTTGAGATGGAGTTTCGCTCCAGCCCAGGCTGGAGTGCAATGGCACGATCTGGGCTCACTGCAACCTCCACCTCCTGGGTTCTAGCAATTCTCCTGCCTCAGCCTCCCGAGTAGTTGGGATTACAGGCATGCGCCACCACACCCAGCTAATTTTTGTATTTTTAGTAGAGACGGGGTTTCACCATGCTGGTCAGGCTGGTCTCAAACTCCCAACCTTAGATGATCCGCCCACCTCGGCCTCCCAAAGCGCTGTGATTACAGGTGTGAGCCACCACGCCTGGCCTGGATTACTGTCATTAAGACAGTGCTTCAATAAATGCCTTGTTCCATATGCTCATATGTACTGATGTCATTATACCTGTGTGATAGATTTGCTACAGTGCGGCTGATAGGATGAGGAGTATCTGTGTTTACAAATTTTATTAGCTATTGCAGAATTACTTTTCAAAATGATTATAGTTCTTCAGACTGGCCTGAAGGCTCACTGTGCTTTGGTAACAGGGTAGAGCTTCAAGAGACCAACAAATAAGGTGATGATGTTTCTATTTTTGGATTGAAAATTTGTTCCACGGATGAGTAAAAAAAAAGTGCATCTATTTTGGGGGGCCAAAAATGGTTCTACTTCATGACCTTACACAAATTATAATCCCAAACTGGATTTCTCTTGGTATCTTTCCAAATATTTATCCAATGTTGGTGACCAGAGAGCTACATGGGAAGTTTCTCAAATTCTCATTTGATAATATCAGTATCTTTTTCATTTACAGACCACTGATTTAGAAACTTTTATGAAGTTTCCTTTTGTAGTCTGTGACAGGAAAGTAAAATCTTGGAACCCCAAACTCACTATGCCAAAAGAAAAGTTAAGCTTGGAAACTGGCTCAGGCAAAAAAATTGCCTTTCCTTTTGTTCCTAAATAGATAGCTACAAGATATCCGGTCACCTATCTTCCCAGGTTACCTCCCTCAATTGTTCTTAAAAATAATTGGAATAAAACTGATACTGTGATGTTAAGATTAGATATACATATTCTGCTAAATGAAGGGGTGTCATTATAATTTGTGTATATTATTTGGGAATAGGCAATACATATATATATCTGTGTGTCTATTTAAACTGGTTTTAGGTTTATAATTGTTAAACAAATCCCTACTGATTGTTTACGTGGTCTCTATTACATATGAAATTTGACATAAATATCTGAATTGTTTACTGGTATTATTTCAATTCATATAGAGTTGACTGAATTTGTGTTTAAGGAATTACAATATGAAATCATATCACATTAATTCTAAATGTGTATGGGTATATTTGTATATGGTCTATGCACTGATTTGTAATTTTTTTGAGGAGTTACACATTATAACTAGTAAATCTGGTTGGTCTTGGTAAATGAGTTCCACGTTGCTTGGGCTTTTGCATAGCCTTTATCTCTGCTGCCAGGCCACTTTGTTCTTGTGGGCATCATGCCAGCACTGGGGTGGTTGCTGACAGAAGAAGTAGGCTAATTTGTCAACTGGGTGAGTCATTTTACCTACTGACCAGGTGTTAACACAAGATACAAAGACCTTCACACTTTATGCCCACTCCATATGCCTATCAATATGCCTCTACCCTAGACCTCCCTGCTGCCAAACTCCCTTTCTTTTCTTTCCAGATCAGGTCAATAAACTTTCACTTATCCAGCCTTGCCTACCAGCCTCCTGGTCCAGCACCCTCAGGACAAGTACCATGGTTCTCCCCTTGTTGGTGAAGGTCTGTTAGATCTTGCAGTTCTTTTGTGGTATTGTTCCATTCTTTCCTTATTTCCCTGGCTGAGCTGTGCTGTGACTTAACCATATTTATAGGCCTGGTGTTGAGGAAAAGAGGGGAAGGCAGTTTCTGATCGTGCGCCTCTTCGATAGTCTTCCTGCCCTGAATAGGGAGGGGTTGGTCACTTCTGCAGTGTTAGAAAGTTTAGTGATATCTTTGAAGTCCAGATCTTTGGAGGCATCCACCTAGAATTCTTATCCCATGTGTCAAAGCCTTAGATTTTTTCCAACTCTGGCTCCAGATTTGGCTTAACATAGCTACCTTGATTAAGCATGCAGGTATCATTGAAGTTCAGCCACTGTGACTACTGAACCCTGAAAATGATCTCCATTTTTTCTGCCTGCTTGTTGCAAGAGATGAGGACCTCTTTGTGAGTGACTGACACTCTGGTTCTCACATTTAATTTTCAATGGTTTGTCAATTGACTCATCTTTTGTTATCTATCTGAAGATCAATGCAATTGTAGTAATGTTTTAGTCTGTTAGCATTGCTGCAAAGAAATACCCGAGACTGGGTAATTTACAAAGAAGGGAGATTTATTTAGTTCATGGCTCTTCAGTCTGTACAAGAAGCATGGTGCCAGCATCTACATCTGATGAGGACCTCAAGCTGCTTCCACTTATGGCTGAAGGGGAAGGAGAGGCAGAGTATAGAGATCACACAGTGGGAGAGGAAGTGAAAAAAAGAGAAAGAGGGAAGGTGTCAAGCTATTTTTTGCAACCATCTCTAGCAGAACTAACAAACTAAGAACTCACTCACTCCCCTCATCACCCCAGGAAATCAGTCTATTAATAAGAGATCCACCACCATGACCCAAACATCTCCCACTAGGCCCCACCTTCAACATTGGGGATCAAATTTCTTTTTTTTAATTATTATACTTTAAGTTCTAGGGTACATGTGCACAATGTGCAGGTTTGTTACATATGTATACATGTGCCATGTTGGTGTGCTGCACCCATTAACTCGTCATTTACATTAGGTATATCTCCTAATGCTATCCCTCCCCCCACCTACCACCCCTCAACAGGCCCCAGTGTGTGATGTTCCCCTTCCTGTGTCCAAGTGTTCTCATTGTTCAATTCCCACCTATAAGTGAGAACATGTGGTGTTTGTATTTTTGTCCCTGAGATAGTTTGCTGAGAATGATGGTTTCCAGCTTCATCCATGTCCCTACAAAGGACATGAACTCATCCTTTTCCATGGCTGCATAGTATTCCGTGGTGTATATGTGCCACATTTGCTTAATCCAGTCTATCATTGATGGGCATTTGGGTTTCAAGACTTTGCTATTGTGAATAGTGCTGCAATAAACATATGTGTGCATATGTCTTTATAGTAGAATAATTTATAATCCTTTGGGTATATACACAGTAATGGGATTGCTGGGTCAAAAGGCATTTTTGATTCTAGATCCTCGCCACACTGTCTTCCACAATGGTAGAACTAATTTACACTCCCACCAACAGTGTAAAAGCGTTCCTATTTCTCCAGCACCTGTTGTTTCCTGACTTTTTAATGATCTGCATTCTAACTGGCATGAGATGGTATCTCATTGTGGTTTTGATTTGCATTTCTCTAATGACCAGTGATGATAAGCTTTTTTTCATATGTTTGTTGGCTGCATGTATGTCTTCTTTTGAGAAGTGTCTGTTCATATTCTTCACCTATTTTTTGATGGGGTTGTTTGCTTTTTTCTTGTAAATTTGTTTAAGTTCCTTGTAGATTCTGGATATTAGCCCGTTGTCAGATGGATAGATTGCAGGAATTTTCTCCCATTCTGTAGGTTGCCTGTTCACTCTGATGATAGTTTCTTTTGCTGTGCAGAAGCTCTTTAGTTTAATTAGATTCCATTTGTCAATTTTGGCTTTTGTTGCCATTGCTTTTGGTGTCATCCTGATACCAAAACCTGGCAGAGACACAACAAAAAAAGACAATTTCAGGCCAATATCCCTGATGAACATCGATGCAAAAATCCTCAATAAAATACTGGCAAACTGAATCCAGCAGCACATCAAAAAGCTTATCCAACACAATCAAGTCAGCTTCATCCCTGGGATGCAAAGTTGGTTTATCACATGCAAATCAATAAGCGCAATCCATCACATAAACAGAACCAATGACAAAAACCACATGATTATCTCAATAGATGCAGAAAAGTCCTTCAATAAAATTCAACACCACTTCATGCTAAAAACTCTCAATAAACTAGGTATTAATGGAATGTATCTAAAAATAATAAGAGCTATTTATGACAAACCCACAGCCAATATCATACTGAATGGGCAAAAGCTGGAAGCATTTCCTTTGAAAACTGGCAGAAGACAAGGATGCCCTCTCTCACCACTCCTATTCAACATAGTATTGGAAGTTCTGGCCAGGGAAATCAAGCAAGAGAAGGATATTCAAATAGGAAGACAGGAAGTCAAATTGTCTCTGCAGATGACATGATTATATATTTAGAAAACCCCATCGTCTCAGCCCCAAATTTCCTTAAGCTGATAAGCAACTTCAGCAAAGTCTCAGGATACAAAATCAATACACAAAAATTACAAGCATTCCTATACACCAATAATAGTCAAACAGAGAGCCAAATCATGAGTGAACTCCCATTCACAATTGCTTCAAAGAGAATAAAATACCTAGGAATCCAACTTACAAGGGATGTGAAGGACCTCTTCAAGGAGAACTACAAACCACTGCTCAAGGAAATAAGAGAGGACACAAACAAATGGAAAAACATTTACATGCTCATGGATAGGAAGAATCAATATCATGAAAATGGCCATGCTGCCCAAAGTAATTTATAGATTCCATGCTATCCCCATCAAGCTACCACTGACTTTCTTCACAGAATTAGAAAAAACTACTTTAAATTTCACATGGAACCAAAAAAGAGCTTGCATAGCCAAGACAATCCTAAGCAAAAAGATCAAAGCTGGAAGCATCATGCTACCTGACTTCAAACTATACTCTAAGCCTACAGTAACCAAAACAGCATGGTACTGGTACCAAAACAGATATATAGATCAATGGAACAGAACAGAGGCCTCAGAAATAATGCTACACATCTATAATCATCTGACCTTTGACAAATCTGACAAAAACAAGCAATGAGGAAAGGATTCCCTATTTAATAAATGGTGTTGGGAAAACTGGCTAGCCATATGCAGAAAACTGAAACTGGACCCCTTCCTTACACCTTATACAAAAATTAACTCAAGATGGATTAAAGACTTAAACGTAATATCTAAAACCATAAAAACTCTAGAAGAAAACCTAGTCAATACCATTCAAGACACAGGCATGGGCAAAGACCTCATGGCTGAACTTCACTTTCTATTTTTAAAAACCTTGCTTTTATTTATTACAAAATTATTTCTTTTAAATTCAAGCAGTAGATTTATAAAATAAAAATACAAAAGTGTCTCTCAAAAATACCTCTATTCTCATCCCCCAATTCCATCATTCCTAAAAGTAGCCAATGTAAATTATTTCATGTCTATTTTTTTGTGATTCTTCCTATGTACATAAAACACTTATATAAATAAATATAATTTTTATAAAATGAGCATAAGAGTTTTTACATCTAGTTTTTTAAGGTATGTTGTTAGTTTGTTTCTAAGACTAGTTTTTCTTTTCTATTTTGGGCTTTTTTTGCAGTTTTATTACACGGAATGCTGTATATATATGATTGCCAGGATTTTGGAATTTATTGAGATTTTCTTTTTGACAAAACACATATTCAATTTTTGTAAATATTATATAGATATTTTGGGATAAAAATATAGAGTTAATGAGATGAAAGTGTTCTATATCTTATTTATTCTCATTACCACCTGTTAAATCAACATTTTATTATTCAAATCTTTCCATTTTGTATTTTTTGTTGTCTGTTTGCTCTCTCAAACTTTGAGAAAGTGTGTTAAAAATCTCCACATTTTGATTATTGTTATATCCATGACATATTGGCTTTAAATTGGAGATTAACATTACTATTATTCCCCACTTACCCTTTTAAATATGTGCCTGAAATGTTTTTTATACACTTTGTTGAAATCCAATGTATGTAAAGTGTACAATTCATGACTCTACATCTTGATGACTTCTCACAATTTGTACATCACCTGTGATACAGTCACTGACATCAGGTTATAGAGCATATTAGTACAACAGAAGCCTGCATGGGATGTCATGGGGTAGGAATTATGAAAAGTACCTATTAGACAGCTTTTCCCATCTTTGGGGCACCGGACTAGTTCATGAATGGGCATGTAATCCCACCATGGGGACTAATATGGGAGGCGTCCCTGGACTGCTTCTTTCAGAACCCCCTTTCCTCAGCATCACTGGGACATTTCCCACTGGAGACGGATTAGGGAGAATATCCCTATGTGTTGTTGGCAGCCTTACTGCTGCAAGGACAAGAGGGCTTTCTTGAGAATAGAACCTACCCCACAAAACCATAGATGAGAAGAAGAGAAGTGGAGCCTCGGCGTGAGCACATCATCTGCCTTCTGGATAAAGCCAAGCCTGCAGATTCATTCATCTCTGTCTCCTGGGACAGAGCCTATGGCTTCCTTTATTGCTCAAGCCAGTTTAAACTAAACCCTGAGTCCTCATTCCTATATACATCCTATGAGATTAATATCATTATCTTTATTTTACAGAGAAAGTAATAGAACCAGAAAGTTGAGTGATGTGCTCAAAGTTATACAAGCCAGTCAGGATATTTTGACTCCATGTTAAAAAGTTCTTGAGTCAGAGGGAGCATCCAGGCTTTCTACAAAGCACCTTTAATCTACCTGCCATGTCTCCCTCCATTGCACAAACTGTGCATTGTGTCCATGTGAATCCTCTAGCCCTAGGTCACCTGCCTTTGCTCACACCTTCACTCCACCCCTCCCTTCTTTCCCTATTGACAATGTTCATTCAGCCTCTGCTCTCACCTCCTACTGGGAGGTGTCACGGTGGAATTGAGTCTCTTGTGGGAAGAGGTGCTCATTCCCCATAGACATAAGAAGGAGTGCTGCTCCATGTTTGTGCTCTTGAGCTTTCTCACCCGAGGGGCCAAGTTTAAGCCTCGTTAGTTATCACACAAAAATACAGGAAGGTCTCTATGAAGTGATTTCACGTTCTTCAGGGAGGAATTCTCCAGGGCATATAATTCTATGCCATATAACATTATGGAATCAATGCTCTGAATCAGTCAGTTGTGTTTGTGAATAGGTGGCTTTTGACTACAGGTGAATCTTCTGATAAAGTAGTATGAAAATTAAAGAGACAGAGTCAACAGGTAAAAAAGTGCATATTCTGCTCCTGTGCGTTTTGGTGGGACTTCTGTTTATAGTTGTCCTCTTTGATAGTTGGAGATGTTGTTGAAGTGATGGCTCAGTGCTCAGGAGTCACTAGGCTCAGCTGAAACATTGAGTCAGTAGACTTTTTGGTTTGATGCCAGTCAATTTCTTTTTCTTTTCAGAGAAAGGTTCGGGCAATAAGTAGAAGTGTAAGTGCTTTGCATGCATAAATCATCATATTCTGGAGTTTGCAACTAGAAGAGAACTTGGTTAGTAAGTTCAACACTTACCTCTTTCCATTGGCAGGCTGAAGCCTTGGGGAGGAAGTGATCTGCGTAAGTATTACTTGTCAGTGATCTATCCAAGACACCATGAAGATCTTCTAAGGTATAAAGATTTTCTATTTTGTATAACATTCTGTAAATATTCTAATTTTTAAAACCAATCTACTTTTACATAGTTGGAACTGAATACATGTTGTTCTTTTTTTTGCCATTAGAAATGCATTTTAAATATTTGGCCTCACAGAGTCTGGTTTTAATAATTGTAGGAGGTTTTTTGACATCCAAAATACAGTACAATTTTTGTGGTTAAATACAGTCATTTGATTTTAATACATGACTATGGACAAATTCAGAAATAAAGTAACTTGTCTTCTCCTGTCTGCTAATGTCCTACAGGTCTGCACTCAAGACAGCACTGTATGCCTTCAACTTGCTGTGTCCATCTGTCTTCCTGGCTTCCTCATCTCTCACAGTGAATTTCTTTTGGTTTTCAAAACATCACACAAAAGGCAGTAGGCTTCCATTCTAGTTTTATGGTGTCACCAAGTGCCTCCTGACTTGAGCAAGTCAGTTTTCCTCCTCCTGCCATCCTCCTCCGACCTAATGGCCTTCCATTCATGACATCCTGTGATTGTGTTTGTTCATCCTCCACCCCCTTCAAATGTCATCATTCCCTTACTTAAATTTCTACAGCACGTGTTATTAATTTCCAATTGTGTTGTGTGCTGACTTCTCTTAGGCACTCTATTCCTTAAAAATAGAGTCTAGGTTTTTCTTATTTTAAAATTCATTTATTCAAAAATGTTGGTTTAAAACCTATTATGAGCCAGGGAGGGTTGTAGTGTAGGCAGTGTGTGTAGAGCAAAGAAGCAAACAAAATCTTTGCCCTCTGGGAGCTAAGCTCTAGTGAGGGATTTTATATATATATATATATATATATATATACATACACATACACATACCTTACTAGAGCTTATATATATATAATATATATAAAATATTAATCTGTTTATATTTATATAAATATTTAAAATATATTTTACACATATTTCTTAAAAAAAGGATAGAGGATATATTATATTCTATGCCATATAATGTTATAAAATCAATGAACTGAATCACTCAGTTGTGTATATATATGTGTGCATGTGTGTGTATATATATATATATATATATATATATATATATGTACACATAGAAAGAGAGAGAGAAAGAAAGAGAAAGTCCTGGGGTATGCGGTACGGGGAGGTACTAGTTTATGCAGCATACTGGTTAAGGGGTTAGAAGCTATTTTATGTAGTGTGCTTAGCTCTCTGTTGAGCTCTGGATTCATGTGTATTCCTAAGGGTGCAGAGCCTAGAAAATGGTAGCTGGTTAATCAGTGCTTGTTGAATAATTAATGATTAAATGAATTTTTTGATGACGAGTATAGTGGGAAGAGAGAAGAGAGAAAAGGAGAGAGAGAGTGAAATCTTTTAAATTACACAATGATCCCCCAAATGGTTTTTTTCTTAAGTCATCATGGTCAGAAGGATAGACCTTGGAGATCTGGCCCCAAAAACTTCACATCCAGGTAAATCCCAATATAATTGGCCAGATCCAGGATGGGCAGAAATCTGCAAGCTTGAAGCCAATTCACATAGTCTATAGGTCACCTAATATGGTTGTGTTGAAAATTCAAATCCCCTCTATGTTTCTACAGAATGTTGTTTTCTTTCTCCAAGTCATATATAGGTACTTTGAATCTAATTAATATTTTAAATAAGTTTATATCAAATATGCTGTAACATTGGATTATTAGGCTATTATCACATTTGTTGAGATATCTTTTTCAATCTATCTGCTTTTTTATATTTTATTTTTTGTAGTCTTAAGTTTTGCATTTATGTAAAATTCAGTTAAATAAAGAACACTTGCACCAATGTTATGGGATTGGAACCTAAGGTATAAAGTATTTATATTTCCATTAAGGCTATGTTTAATTTTCAAATAATATCAAATAAATTTTGATATTATTTGACAAGATCTCTGAGCCAGAATTCTTCATTTCTATTTTTTATATTTGGAATATAATCCAAGTATTTGGTCATTGTCTAAAATTGCCAAAGAAAATTTCTGTCAGGATAGGCTCCTCATCTTCTGCCAGAATTTCTGGGGTGAATGCAGACTGGAACTCTTAGCTAATGGACTGTGGCTTTATTCTGTATATACTATGTCCATAAAATCAATGCACGACTTCATTACTGAAAATGGAAAGACAAAATCAAAGCTGTGTGGTTGAATTCATCCTCTTGGGCTTTTCTAACTATCCTGAGCTCCAGGGGCAGCTCTTTGTGGCTTTCCTGGTTATTTATCTGGTGACCCTGATAGGAAATGCCATTATTATAGTCATCGTCTCCCTAGACCAGAGCCTCCACGTTCCCATGTACCTGTTTCTCCTGAACTTATCTGTGGTGGACCTGAGTTTCAGTGCAGTTATTATGCCTGAAATGCTGGTGGTCCTCTCTACTGAAAAAACTACAATTTCTTTTGGGGGCTGTTTTGCACAGATGTATTTCATCCTTCTTTTTGGTGGGGCTGAATGTTTTCTTCTGGGAGCAATGGCTTATGACCGATTTGCTGCAATTTGCCATCCTCTCAACTACCAAATGATTATGAATAAAGGAGTTTTTATGAAATTAATTATATTTTCATGGGCCTTAGGTTTTATGTTAGGTACTGTTCAAACATCATGGGTATCTAGTTTTCCCTTTTGTGGCCTTAATGAAATTAACCATATATCTTGTGAAACCCCAGCAGTGTTAGAACTTGCATGTGCAGACACGTTTTTGTTTGAAATCTATGCATTCACAGGCACCTTTTTGATTATTTTGGTTCCTTTCTTGTTGATACTCTTGTCTTACATTCGAGTTCTGTTTGCCATCCTGAAGATGCCATCAACCACTGGGAGACAAAAGGCCTTTTCCACCTGTGCCGCTCACCTCACATCTGTGACCCTATTCTATGGCACAGCCAGTATGACTTATTTACAACCCAAATCTGGCTACTCACCGGAAACCAAGAAAGTGATGTCATTGTCTTACTCACTTCTGACACCACTGCTGAATCTGCTTATCTACAGTTTGCGAAATAGTGAGATGAAGAGGGCTTTGATGAAATTATGGCGAAGGCGAGTGGTTTTACACACAATCTGACTGTGTTGAGAAGCCATGTAAGATTTAGTCACTGCATGACTGTATTCAATCTAAATTTAATAAATTTAGATTCATTAAGTTTGCATTTTTTGGCATGAGTATGACTAATTTATTGTGTTCTCCAAGTTTGATTGTATATCAGGAGCATCTTTATATGTTAATGTTTTTAGTTTTTTCACCAGTGCATAATATTCCTTAATATTGAATATAACACAATTTCAACAATTTGTTTAGTAGTAGCCCTACTGATGGTTATTTTTTTGTCACAATAGATAATACTAAAACAACCAGTTTTTATATATTCATAAATTCTGGTGCTTTAATTTTTACAGAATAGCTTTCACAAAGTAGGTTTGAAGGGTCAAAACAAATGTGAGTTTGCAAGTTTTCATAGATATTACTGAGTTACTTTTTTAAATGATTTTAACAACTTCAGACTGACCTGAGCACCCATCCTATCCCTCTACTATGTTGTATGCCAAGAAGCCTACAATAACGAGATGAGATTTTCTGCTTCTGTAGTGAAAATCTGTTCCATACATAAGTAGGAAAGAACAGTTATTTATTGAGAGGAACACAATGTCTCTACTCAGGGACCCAGAGAGTCTATAATTCAAAACTAGATATCTTCTGGTTATTTTAGAATATATATTCCTCCAGTGTTTTGAGTAGAGAACATCATGTGATCATTTTTGAAGGTCATTTAAAGTACGGCTGTCCTTTCCACTTATAAACTATATTTTTTGAAACTTGGTCAAATTTCTTTCATAAGGCAAAAATGCACCTCATACAGGCCAAACAATGTATGATTGTGTTTTTTTGTTGTGGGACATAAATATGATTACCTCATTGTGCCTATTTTCTATTATCCTTGGGTCATATCAATATTTATGTGCATCTTTCCAACATAAAATAATCACATAATAGTCTTTCTAGTTATATATAAAGATGAATAATTAGACACATTGCAACATTGAAATATAACATTTCATTCTTGCTTCCTATTTTAATATTGCTATAATAAATAGAAAGGGTTCTTCTCATTAAATCTATATCAAAGGAGTTGACAACACCCTTCATTTCTGCTCTGGGGGTGGAGGTGGGGTAATAAAGCGGTTAGAACACTTCTACAAAACAATCATTCATTGGATGGAAAACCCTTCTTTTCTTCACTACTCCTTCTGCCAAAAATAAAGGTGAAGTTGCAAATCTATTTGAATTTCAAAAAAAGAGAGAAATTTCATGAGAAGAAGGCTGGAACCTTGTGGGTAATGATGCAGGACTTTTCTTCTCAGTCACTTTGGAAGCTGGGGACCCCTGACCGGCAACAGCCCACCTGGCATGCCCCAGCTCACCTCTGTTATAGCTTGTACCTGCATTCAGCAGTTCCCAAGCTTTTGTACCACACCCAAGAAGAATGAGGATATGCTGGGCATTGAAGGGTAAGGATGGTGGAGAAGAATTTTACTGAAGGACAGAACAACTGTCAGCAGAGAGGGGATATGGGGGGTGGTTCCCCTACTGGAAGGCAGGAAAGCCCCACCATGGTGGCTGGGTCCAGGACCTTTTAGGGACTCAAAATGGGAAGTACATGCTGGTTTGTGAGGTATGCAAAAAGGTTAAAGTGAAGACACCACTCAAAGGTGGGCATGACAGTGTAGAAAAACCAATTAGGAAAGGGTAGGTATATGTAAAATAGGTGAAGAGCGGGGAACAATCAGAGGAAAGTATGTGAAATGGGAAGATAAGTTCTCAATCCGGTCCCAGAGTTTAACTTGCAGTTTGGCTTTCAGGCTTTAAACTGTCTTTTGTTTAGAGGTGGGGTTTCACCAGGAACCCACCCCATCTGCCTAGGCATTTGGCTGCCTCCTGTCGCTATCAGTGATATCTGAATGTTGTATAATACTGTTTTCATTTGGGCACCAAACAGCCCTCAGCAAAAGCCTTTGATTGGATCCCATCTCTTGATATCCTGAAATTTCCTTCTGATAGCTTTTAAAAGAACCAATTAAGTAAGACTTATGTAAAACGAACAAATCAGCAAAGAAACAAACAAAGGAAGCTAAATACAGAAAGTCTTTTTAGCCATTCTTTAGTTCATTTTGTTCATTGATTCTGTAAACCAATTTTTTTCTTAAAAAAAATTCTTTATAAAAATGTCTTAAGAGAGCTAAATCTAATGAAATAGTCTCTGCTCTTGAAGGATTTACAGTGTACTGGTCATTAGATGCTGGAAGGTTACTATATTTGACGCTTTCCTCTTTCATTGCCTTTGTGATAAATAAAGCCTGGATTGGCAAGATGTTCATGAAATTACAATAAGAAATTAGGTCACTCTAATTCTAAATTTGTATGTGTGTGTGTATATGCGTGTGTGAATCCAAGTATGTGCTGGGAATTTATACATTTGTGATGTTATGTGAGGAGATAGAAATAATCGCTAGTAAATTTAGTCATAGTTTAAAATTTTTATGTTATTCTGATGAATAGAAATTGTTAGTATGCTTCACACATAATAGCCTAATCATATCATTTCTGCATACTATTCTTCATGGTGATTTTTAGTTATAGTCACCGTGGCTGCTACTGCTGCTAGTTTTCTAGTTTATGCCCATTCTCCTTTTTCTTTAATAGAGAAAACCCCATTTTTGTTCTTTAAGTAGAAAAAAAAAACAAGTTTCTTAAGGGCAGTAATGTATCCAGTTAATAACCAATTTCCCAGTTTCTCTTTTGAACAAGGGTGGTTTGTGACACAGTTCTGACTAGTGATATATAGGTGGACATCCTTGAGTAGGGTGTCTATGAAAACTCTTTAAAAATGTGACTTAGTTAATAAGGACTTTTTGCTCTTCAACCTCCTCCTTCCTTCTACCTGAAACAAGCCATGAGGCTAGAGATAGTGCAGCTATCTTGCAATGAGAGTTAAAGCATGACTAGAAAAGCCAGGCCCTACAGAGGCCAAGTGGAAAGCTAGAGGGCCCCTGGGTCTGTGACGGCATTGCGTAGTGACCTTATCATTCCTCTCCTGCCTATTTGTTTACTGACTGTTACTTCAGAGAAATAAACCTTGTCTTTGTTTAATCCAGTATTTGCTAGGTTTTCTGTTACAGCATAACCCAATCCAGACTGTTATTGTTACAAAAAAAAAAAAAAATAAATTTAAGAAAACTTACATGTAGTGGATAATTTGGCATCTTTCTCCACAATATATTTAAGCTTAAGGTTAGAAAATTTTAAATTATATTTTTTTCTGTTTAGATCTGAAAAAGAAATTATGGAGCTGTAATACTGGTAGTCATGAATAAAGTTTGACAAGAAAAATAATATCCTAGAAGTGAAATAGAGTTACAGTTTTCTTCCAGAAAATCCAGGCAAATAGCAACCCATAATATGGACAGATTTAAAGGTTTTATAACCCCCTTCACCAAAGATGCTTAGAGGTGGCTGATGTTCCAAGTAAACTTGAAACAGAAAGCAAATCACGCAAGCTTGTTTCAAATATAAAAGTTAATACTTTTTTCCAATACATGCTTCTCAAAGAAAATAAGCAGAAAAAAAAATTTCTACCATGAAAAGCTGCACATAATTTGAGTTCCAAGTGTTTTTTTTTCTTGAAGATAAATCTTGCTTTTTATATAACTTGGATCATAAGATTATTCAAGTGTGTATTTTATTTAAGTTAGTGACTTACACATTGTTTATGTTACCACAAAATTTTCATAAACATAGTTTTTCATCAGAACATGGAAAATTATTTATTTGCTCATTCCCTATTTTTGGATGTTTAAGGTGTTTTGAATTTTATCAAGTCATAAAAAGCACTGCTAATTATATGCACAGCATTTTCCCTGCAAAAAAAATTTTAAAAAATTTTTCTAGATCAACGAGACAGAAAGTCAACAAGGATACACAGGAATTGAACTCAGCTCTGCACCAAGCGGACCTAATAGATGTCTGCAGAACTCTCCACCCCAAATCAACAGAATATACATTTTTTTCAGCACCACACCACACCTATTCCAAAATTGACCACATACATGGAAGTAAAACTCTCCTCAGCAAATGTAAAAGAACAGAAATTATAACAAAATATCTCTCAGACCACAGTGCAATCAAACTAGAACTCAGAATTAAGAATCTCACTCAAAACCGCTCAACTACATGGAAACTGAACAACCTGCTCCTGAATGACTAGTTGGTACATAACGAAATGAAGGCAGAAATAAAGATGTTCTTTGAAACCAACGAGAACAAAGACACAACATACCAGGATCTCTGGGACACATTCAAAGCAGTGTGTAGAGGGAAATTTATAGCACTAAATGCCCACAAGAGAAAGCAGGAAAGATCCAAAATTGACACCCTAACATCACAATTAAAAGAACTAGAAAAGCAAGAGCAAACACATTCAAAAGCTAGCAGAAGGCAAGAAATAACTAAAATCAGAGCAGAACTGAAGGAAATAGAGACACAAAAAACCCTTCAAAAAATTAATGAATCCAAGAGCTGGTTTTTTGAAAGGATCAACAAAATTGATAGACCGCTAGCAAGACTAATAAAGAAAAAAAGAGAGAAGAATCAAATAGACACAATAAAAAATGATAAAGGGGATATGACCACTGATCCCACAGAAATACAAACTACCATCAGAGAATACTACAAACACCTCTATGCAAAAAAACTAGAAAATCTAGAAGAAATGGATAAATTCCTCAACACATACATTCTCCCAAGACTAAACCAGGAAGAAGTTGAATCTCTGAATAGACCAATAACAGGAGCTGAAATTGTGGCAATAATCAATAGCTTACCAATCAAAAAGAGTCCAGGACCAGATGGATTCACAGCCAAATTCTCCCAGAGGTACAAGGAGGAACTGGTACCATTCCTTCTGGAACTATTCCAATCAATAGAAAAAGGGGGAATTCTCCCTAACTCATTTTATGAGGCCAGCATCATTCTGATACCAAAGCCAGGCAGAGATACAACCAAAAAAGAGAATTTTAGACCAATATCCTTGATGAACATTGATGCAAAAATCCTCAATAAAATACTGGCAAAATGAATCCAGCAGCACATCAAAAAGCTTATCCACCATGATCAAGTGGGCTTCATCCCTGGGATGCAAGGCTGGTTCAATATACACAAATCAATAAATGTAATCCAGCATATAAACAGACCCAAAGACAAAAACCACATAATTATCTCAATAGATGCAGAAAAGGCCTTTGACAAAATTCAACCACCCTTCATGCTAAAAACTCTCAATAAATTAGGTATTGATGGGACATATCTCAAAATAATAAGAGCTATCTATGACAAACCCACAGCCAATATCATACTGAATGGGCAAAAACTGGAAGCATTCCCTTTGAAAACTGGCACAAGACAGGGATGCCCTCTCTCACCATTCCTATTCAACATAGTGTTGGAAGTTCTAGCCAGGGCAATTAGGCAGGAGAAGGAAATAAAGGGTATTCAATTAGGAAAGGAGGAAGTCAAACTGTCCCTCTTTGCAGACGACATGATTGTATATCTGAAAAACCCCATTGTCTCAGCCCAAAATCTCCTTAAGCTGATAAGCAACTTCAGCAAAGTTTCAGGATACAAAAATCAATGTACAAAAATCACAAGCATTCTTATACACCAACAACAGACAAACAGAGAAGCAAATCATGAGTGAACTCCCATTCACAATTGCTTCAAAGAGAATAAAATACCTAGGAATCCAACTTACAAGGGATGTGAAGGACCTCTTCAATGAGAACTACAAACCACTGCTCAAGGAAATAAAAGAGGATACAAACAAATGGAAGAACATTCCATGCTCATGGGTAGGAAGAATCAATATCGTGAAAATGGCCTTACTGCCCAAGGTAATTTATAGATTCAATGCCATCCCCATCAAGCTACCAATGACTTTCTTCACAGAATTGGAAAAAACTACCTTAAAGTTCATATGGAACCAAAAAAGAGCCCACTTTGCCAAGTCAATCCTAAGCCAAAAGAACAAAGCTGGAGGCATCACGCTACCTGACTTCAAACTATACTACAAGGCTACAGTAACCAAAACAGCATGGTACTGGTACCAAAACAGAGATATAGATCAGAACAGAGCCCTCGGAAATAACACCGCATATCTACAACTATCTGATCTTTGACAAACCTGAGAAAAACAAGCAATGGGGAAAGGATTCCCTATTTAATAAATGGTGCTGGGAAAACTGGCTAGCCATATGTAAAAAGCTGAAACTGGATCCCTTCCTTACACCTTATACAAAAATCAATTCAAGATGGATTAAAGACTTAAATGTTAGGCCTAAAACCATAAAAACCCTAGAAGAAAACCTAGGCAATACCATTCAGGACATAGGCATGGGCAAGGACTTCATGTCTAAAACACCAAAAGCAATGGCAACAAAAGACAAAATTGACAAATGGGGTCTAATTAAACTAAAGAGCTTCTGCACAGCAAAAGAAACTACCATCAGAGTGAATAGGCAACCTACAAAACGGGAGAAAATTTTTGCAACCTACTCATCTGACAAAGAGCTAATATCCAGAATCTACAATGAACTCAAACAAATTTACAAGAAAAAAACAAACAACCCCATCAAAAAGTGGGTGAAGGACATGAACAGACACTTCTCAAAAGAAGACATTTATGCAGCCAAAAAGCACATGAAAAAATGCTCATCATCACTGGCCATCAGAGAAATGGAAATCAAAACCACAATGAGATACCATCTCACACCAGTTAGAATGGCAATCATTAAAAAGTCAGGAAACAACAGGTGCTGGAGAGGATGTGGAGAAATAGGAACACTTTTACACTGTTGGTGGGACTGTAAACTAGTTCAACCATTGTGGAAGTCAGTGTGGTGATTCCTCAGGGATCTAGAACTAGAAATACCATTTGACCCAGCCATCCCATTACTGGGTATATACCGAAAGGACTATAAATCATGCTGCTATAAAGACACATGCACATGTATGTTTATTGCGGCATTATTCACAATAGCAAAGACTTGGAACCAACCCAAATGTCCAACAATGATAGACTGGATTAAGAAAATGTGGCACATATACACCATGGAATACTATGCAGCCATAAAAAATGATGAGTTCATGTCCTTTGTAGGGACATGGATGAAATTGGAAATCATCACTCTCAGTAAACTATCGCAAGAACAAAAAACCAAACACTGCATATTCTCACTCATAGGTGGGAATTGAACAATGAGATCACATGGACACAGGAAGGGGAACATCACACTCTGGGGACTGTTGTGGGGTGGGGGGAGGGGGGAAGGATAGCATTGGGAGATATACATAATGCTAGATGACGAGTTAGTGGGTGCAGTGCACCAACATGGCACATATATACATATGTAACTAACCTGCACAATGTGCACATGTACCCTAAAACTTAAAGTATAATAAAGAAAAAAAAGAAAAAAAAAAGAATCTTAAAAAAAAATTTTTTCTCCAGTGAAATTATTTAACTGTTTAAAATTAATTCCTTTAGACTAGATTTTGGAAAAAGGATTGTTGGGTTGAAGGTTTTGAACATTGTTTAGATGTTTGATGCATATTGTCAAATTGCCAATAAGGAAGGTTGTATTGTTTGACCTACTATACTATAGCATTCCAGAGTGTCTGTTTTGTGACCTGTGATCTAGTATTATTTACTTTTTCTTTTTTTAAATTTGCATTTTTTCATTTTTCACTAATCAAAAGAAAGCTAGAAATATTATTTATTTTTAAAGAAAATATTGCTAATTATATTATGCTATATTACTTTACTATTTATTTTAATTTACTTTAAATATTTATGATAAGTTTTAATCACAAAAGTAATACATGCTTATTTTAAAATTTTACATAAATACAGAAGTAAGTAAAAGAACTATTTTTCCAAACACCAGACTTCAGTGCAATCAAAAGGATAAACAATATTCAAAACTGTTCAATTTATGGCACACAGAGATAAGAAAACAAGAAGACATTTGGGGACATCTTTATGATGAAAAAAGTATTTTATTTTATATGCCATAATTATAAGATTAACAAAGTATTAGATAAGACATTAAATATTAAATTTGTATACTTCTAATAAAGTGTTTTCAGAAATTAGGAGAAGGAATTTGAGGTTGTTTCCGCAAGTAAAGTTTTCTAATATCAGTTTCTATGCTTGAAACTGCAACATGCAATTTCTGATCAAGACATCTTAGGGATGTTTCCTTTACAGTTTTGATAGTTGTCATGAATATAAAAATGGCCAGGCATGGTGGCTCATGCCTGTAATCCCAGCACTTTGGGAGGCTGGGCTGGAAGGGTCACTTAAGCCAAGGAGTATGAGACCAGCCTGGGCAACATAGGGAGACCCCGTTTCTACAAAAATAAAAATAAAAAACTAGCCAGGCATGGTGGCATGTGCCTGTGGTCCCAGCTACTTGTGAGGCTGAGGCAGGAGGATCACTTGAGCCTGGGAGGCCAAGGTAGTGGGTGAGCTGTGATCATGCCCCTGTACTCCAGCTTGGGTGACAGAGTGAGAGAGACCCTGTCTCTGAAACAAAACAAAACAAACCATTCTGACAAGGTAGTTGATAAAAATTGTTGACGAAAAGAGTCAAACTGTAAAATATTTGCAGAGATTTATTGTGAGCCAAATGTGATGACCATGACCTATAACACAGCCCCAGAAGGTCCTGAGAACATGTGCCCAAGGTAGTTGGTTTATGGCTTGATTTTATACATTAAAGTTACAGGCAAACATCAATCAATATGTATAAGGAGGTGTACAGTGTTTCTCTGCAGAAACATGGGATAACTTGAAGTGGGAGCTTTCAGGTCACAGGTAGATTCAAAGATTTTCTGATTAGCAATTGATTGGAAGAGTTATTATCTAAAGCCTGGAATCAATAGAAAGGAGTGTTTGGGTTAAGATAAGAAGTTGTGGACACCAAGATTTTTATTATGCAGATGGAGACCCCAGGTACCAGGCTTCAAAGCTCTTATCAGACCTAAAAAGGTTCCATACTTTTAATTAATTCTCTCCTGGATCAGGGAAAAGACATGGAAAGGGAAGACGATTCTCTACAGAATGTGGATTTTCCACACAAGAGACAGCTTTGCAGGGCCATGCCATTTAAGAACATGTCAAAGAAATATATTTTGGGGAAAATAATTTCAATTTCTTTCAGGACCTACTATCTGTCATGAATCACCATACTAGAATCAGGTTTGAATTTGGTATCTTACTGTTACAAAGGGTCTGTTTCTGTGTTAAGATCTCTGTTTTAATGGTAGTGCTGGTCAATTGCATCTGAATTCCAAAGGGAGGAAGTTATAATGACACATGTCTAACCTACCTCTTCCGGTCATGGTCTGAACTAGTTTTTCAGGTTTACTTTGGAATGCCAGTGGCCGAGAGGGGAGTCCATCAGTAGGTTGGGGGCCTTAGAATTTTATTTTTGGTTTATGAAACTTAAAAATCTAACAGTTTCTTTTTTTTTCATTGACAAGTGTAATGTTACAATTTATTGTGATAATGAGCATGGATTTCATAACTATTTCAATGTTTTTCATGTTGAATATTTCAAAATGATAATTGTTAAAAGAATCTAATTGGGAGGCCATTAGACCAAGGTGGCTTTGGCACTCTAAATTCCTATGTGAACCAACCAGAGTCCAGTGTAATCAGTAAATCGAAACTAGAAACAGCACCAATCAGAAACCACCAACTAATTTCTAACCCATCAAAATTATTTTCTTTGTCTTGCTTCTGCAAAAACTTTATAAAGTTTCTGTCAGGCCTCTGAGCCCAAGCCAAGCCATCGCATCCCCTGTGACTTGCACGTATATGCACAGATGGCCTGAAGTAACTGAAGAATCACAAAAGAAGTGAATATGCCCTGCCCCACCTTAACTGATGACATTCCACCACAAAAGAAGGGTAAATGGCCGGTCCTTGCCTTAAGTGATGACATTACCTTGTGAAAGTCCTTTTCCTGGCTCAAAAAGCACCCCCACTGAGCAACTTTCGACCCCCACTCCTGCCCACCAGAGAACAAACCCCCTTTGACTGTAATTTTCCTTTACCTACCCAAATCCTATAAAACAGCCCCACCCTTATCTCCCTTTGTTGACTCTCTTTTCGGACTCAGCCGCCTGCACCCAGGTGAAATAAACAGCCATGTTGCTCACACAAACCCTGTTTGGTGGTCTCTTCACACAGACGCACATGAAATTTGGTGCCGTGACTCGGATCGGGGGACCTCCCTTGGGAGATCAATCCCCAGTCCTCCTGTTCTTTGCTCCATGAGAAAGATCCACCTAGGACCTCAGGTCCTCAGACCGACCAGCCCAAGAAACATCTCACCAATTTCAAATCAGGTAAGCGGCCTCTTCTTACTCTCTTCTCCAACCTCTCTCACTGTCCCTCAACCACTTTCTCCTTTCCACTCTTCAATCTCTCCCTTCTCTTAATTTCAATTCCTTTCATTTTCTGGGAGAGACAAAGGAGACACATTTTATCCGGGGACCCAAAACTCCGGGGCCAGTCACGGACTGGGAAGGCAGCCTTCCCTTGGTGTTTAATGATTGCAGGGATGCCTCTCTGATTATACACTCACGTTTCAAGGGTGTCAGACCACGCAGGGATGCCTGCCTTGGTCCTTCACCCTTAGCGGCAAGTCCCGCTTTTCTGGGGCAGGGGCAAGTACCCCTCAACCCCTTCTCCTTCACCCTTAGTGGCAAGTCCCACTTTTCTATGGGGCAAGAACCCTCAATCCCTTATTTCCACACCCCAACCTCTTATCTCTGTGCCCCAATCCCTTATTTCCACACCCCAACCTCATATCTCTGTGCCCCAATCCCTTATTTCCGTGCCCCAACCTCATATCTCTGTGCCCCAATCCCTCATTTCTGCACCCCAATCCCTTATTTCCATGCTCCGACCTCTTATCTCTGTGCCCCAACCCCTTTTCCCACTTTTTTGGAAGGTAAGAACCCCCAAACCCCTTCCCTCCGTTTCTCTACTCTCTCTTTTCTCTAGGCTTGCTTCCTTCACTATGGGCAACCTTCCACCCTCCATTCCTCCTTCTACTCCCTTGGCCTGTGTTCTCAAAAACTTATAACCTCTTCAACTCACACCTGACCTAAAACCTAAATGCCTTATTTTCTTCTGCAATGCCGCCTGACCCCAATACAAACTCGACAGTAGTTCCAAATAGCCAGAAAATGGCACTTTGAATTTTTCCATCCTACAAGATCTAAATAATTCTTGTCATAAAATAGGCAAACGGTCTGAGGTGCCTGACATCCAGGCATTCTTTTACACAACAGGGCCTTCCTAGTCTCTGTGCCCAGTGCAACTCATCCCAAATCTTCCTTCTTTCCCTCCTGCCTGTCCCCTCAGTACCAACCCCAAGTGTCTCTGAGTCTTTCTAATCTTCCTTTTCTACAGACCCATCTGACCTCTCCCTTCCTCCCCAGGCTGCTCCTCGCCAGGCCGAGCTAGGTCCCTATTCTTCCTCAGCCTCTGCTCCTCCACCCTAGAATCTTTTTATCATTGCCCCTTCTCACACCTGGTCCGGCTTACAGTTTCGTTCCATGACTAGCCCTCCCCCTCCTGCCCAGCAATTTACTCTTAAAAAGGTGGCTAGAGCTAAAGGCACAGTCAAGGTTAATGCTCCTTTTTCTTTATCCCAAACCAGATAGCGTTTAGGCTCTTTTTCATCAAATATAAAAATCCAGCCCAGTTCATGACTTGTTTGGCAGCAACCCTGAGACACTTTACAGCCCTAGACCCTAAAAGGTCAAAAGGCCGTCTTATTCTCAAAACACATTTTATTACCCAATCTGCTCCCGACATTAAATAAAACTCCAAAAATTAAATTCCGGCCCTCAAACCCCACAACAGGATTTAATTAACCTCACCTTCAAGGTGTACAATAACAGAAAAAAGTTGCAACTCCTTGCCTCCACTGTGAGACAAACCCCAGCCACATCTCCAGCACACAAGAACTTCCAAACACCTGAACCGCAGTGGCCAGGCATTCCTCCAGAACCTCCTCCCACAGGAGCTTGCTACACGTGCCAGAAATCTGGCCACTGGGCCAGGGAATGCCCGCAGCCTGAGATTCCTCCTAAGCTGCGTCCCATCTGTGTGGGACCCCACTGAAAATGGACTGTTCAACTCACCTGGCAGCCACTCCCAGAGCCCTGGAACTCTCGCCCAAGGCTCTCTGACTGACTCCTTCCCAGATCTTCTCGGCTTAGCGGCTGAAGACTGACACTGCCTGATCACCTCAGAAGCCCCCAGACCATCACGGACGCTGAGCTTCAGGTAACTCTCACAGTGGAAGATAAGCCCATCCCCTTCTTAATCAGTACGGAGGCTACCCACTCCACATTACCTTCTTTTCAAGGGCCTGTTTCCCTTGCCTCCATAACTGTTGTGAGTGTTGACGGCCAGGCTTCTAAACCTCTTAAAACTCCCCAACTCTGGTGCCAGCTTAGACAATACTCTTTTAAGCACTCCTTTTTAGTTATCCCCACCTGCCCAGTTCCCTTATTAGGCTGAGACACTTTAACTAAATTATCTGCTTCCCTGACTATTCCTGGACTACAGCTATATCTCATTGCCACCCTTCTTCCCAATCCAAAGCCTCTTTGCGTCCTCCTCTTGTATCCCCCTACCTTAACCCACAAGTATAAGATACCTCTACTCCCTCCTTGGTGACCGATCATGCACCCCTTACCATCTCATTGAAACCTAATCACCCTTACCCCACTCAACACCAATATCCCATCCCACAGCATGCTTTAAAAAGATTGAAGCCTGTTATCACTCGCCTGCTACAGCATGGCCTTTTAAAGCCTATAAACTCTCCTTACAATTCCCCCATTTTACCTGTCCTAAAACCAGACACGCCTTAGAAGTTAGTTCAGGATCTGCGCCTTATCAACCAAATTGTTTTGCCTATCCACCCTGTGGTGCCAAACCCATATACTCTCCTATCCTCAATACCTGCCTCTACAACCCATTATTCTGTTCTGGATCTCAAACATGCTTTCTTTACTATTCCTTTTCACCCTTCATCCCAGCCTCTCTTCGCTTTCACTTGGACTGACCCCGACACTCATCAAGCTCAGCAAATTACCTAGGCTGTACTGCAGCAAAGCTTCACAGACAGCCCCCATTGCTTCAATCAAGCCCAAATTTCTTCCTCATCTGTTACCTATCTCGGCATAATTCTCATAAAAACACACGTGCTGTCCCTGCCAATCGTGTCCGACTGATCTCTCAAATCCAAGCTCCTTCTACAAAACAACAACTTCTTTCCTTCGTAGGCATGGTTAGTGCGGTCAGAATTCTTACACAAGAGCCAGGACCATACCCTGTAGCCTTTCTGTCCAACTTGACCTTACTGTTTTAGCCTAGCCCTCATGTCTGCGTGCAGCGGCTGCCGCTGCTTTAATACTTTTAGAGGCCCTCAAAATCACAAACTATGCTCAACTCACTCTCTACAGTTCTCATAACTTCAAAAATCTATTTTCTTCCTCATACCTGATGCATATACTTTCTGCTTCCCGGCTCCTTCAGCTGTACTCACTCTTTGTTGAGTCTCCCACAATTACCGTTGTTCCTGGCCCAGACTTCAATCCAGCCTCCCACATTATTCCTGATACCACACCTGACCCCCATGACTGTATCTCTCTGATCCACCTGACATTCACCCCATTTCCCCAGATTTCCTTCTTTCCTGTTCCTCACCCTGATCACGCTTGATTTATTGATGATGGTTCCACCGAGCCTAATCGCTGCACACCAGCAAAGGCAGGTTATGCTATAGTACAAGCCACTAGCCTGCCGCTTAGAACCTCTCATTTCCTTTCCATCATGGAAATCTATCCTCAAGGAAATAACTTCTCAGTGTTCCATCTGCTATTCTGCTACTCCTCAGGGATTATTCAGGCCCCCTCCCTTCCCTACACATCAAGTTCAAGGATTTGCCCCCACCCAGGACTGGCAAATTAGCTTTACTCAACATGCCCGAGTCTGGAAACTAAAATACCTCTTAGTCTAAATAGACACTTTCACTGAATAAGTAAAGGCCTTTCCTACAGGGTCTGAGAAGGCCACCGCAGTCATTTCTTCCCTTCTGTCAGACATAATTCCTCAGTTTAGCCTTCCCACCTCAATACAGTCTGATAACAGATGAGCCTTTATTAGTCAAATCAGCCAAGCAGTTTTTCAGGCTCTTAGTATTCAGTGAAACCTTTATATCCCTTACAGTCCTCCATCTTCAAGAAAAGTAGAATGGACTAAAGGTCTTTTAAAAACACACCTCACCAAGCTCAGCCACCAACTTAAAAAGGACTGAACAATACTTTTACCACTTTTCCTTCTCAGAATTCAGGCCTGTCCTCGGAATGCTACAGGGTACAGCCCATTTAAGCTCCTGTATAGACTCTCCTTTTTGTTAGGCCCCAGTCTCATTCCAGACACCAGACCAACTTAGACTGTGCCCCCAAAAAAACTTGTCATCCCTACTATCTTCTGTCTAGTCATACTCCTATTCACCATTCTCAACTACTCATACATGTCCTGCTCTTGTTTACACTGCCGGTTTACACTGTTTTTCCAAGCCATCACAGCTGATATCTCCTGGTGCTATCCCCAAACTGCCACTCTTAACTCTTGAAGTAAATAAATAATCTTTGCTGGCAGGACTATGCTGAATCTCCTTAGGCACTCTCTAGTCAGCTATCCTGAGTCGTCCCAATTCTTAGACCTTTTATACCTGTTTTTCTCCTTCTGTTATTCCATTTAGTTTTTCAATTCATACAAAACTGTATCCAGGCCATCACCAATCATTCTATACGACAAATGTTTCTTCTAACATCCCCGCAATATCACCCCTTACCACAAGACCTCCCTTCAGCTTAATCTCTCCCACTCTAGGTTCCCACGCCGCCCCAATCCCGCTTGAAGCAGCCCTGAGAAACATCGCCCACTCTCTCTCCATACCACCCCCCAAAAAATTTTCACCGCCCCAGCACTTCAACACTATTTTATTTTTCTTATTAATATAAGAAGGCAGGAATGTCAAGCCTCTGAGCCCAAGCCAAGCCATCGCATCCCCTGTGACTTGCACGTATATGCCCAGATGGCCTGAAGTAACTGAAGAATCACAAAAGAAGTGAATATGCCCTGCCCCACCTTAACTGATGACATCCCACCACAAAAGAAGGGTAAATGGCCAGTCCTTGCCTTAAGTGATGACATTACTTTGTGAAAGTCCTTTTCCTGGCTCATCCTGGCTCAAAAAGCACCCCCACTGAGCACCTTTCGACCCCCACTCCTGCCCGCCAGAGAACAAACCCCCTTTGACTGTAATTTTCCTTTACCTACCCAAATCCTATAAAACGGCCCCACCCTTATCTCCCTTTGTTGACTCTCTTTTCGGACTCAGCCCGCCTGCACCCAGGTGAAATAAACAGCCATGTTGCTCACACAAACCCTGTTTGGTGGTCTCTTCACACGGACGCGCATGAAAGTTTCCCCTCTTGCCTTTCTTGATGGAGTGATAGCCCCTTGTGGTCTGGTGCTGCCCCAATTCTTGAATCTCTGAATGCTCCGATAAACTCTCTAAAATTGAAATGTACTTAAGTTTTTCTTTCATCATAAGGAAGTGCTATTCTGCAGCACGCACATGCAAAGCAAGAACAGTTGCTACCAGGTAGTTAAGACGGAAATGAGCATAAGACTATGTAAAGGCAGAGATTTGGGGCCACCTTCTAGAGCTGTGCCCACAAGAGGCCCCTAACTGATAACTGCCCACTCTGATTCTCTGAATGAGCTACATTATTGCGTGTATGCTGCACTCCTCTGGGCACCTGGAACCTCTTAGCCACCAAGGCAGCAGCACATTGTTTAAAGCATCTCCTAGCCTTCACTCAGTGGCTTCCGGCAGAGTGGTGATGCCAGACATCACTTACAGTGCTCACTGTCTGTGGGGAACAGAGGGTCCCATCAGACACACGTCTGTTTCAGCCAGTTTCTGAGAAGCCCACAGAGAGGACAGTGACAATGTTCTGGGACTCTGGTTGCTTCAGGTGTTGCCTGGGCTCTCAGAAGTCTAAGAAGATCATTATTTCCTGGTAAACTTTTAATGCATTTGAAATATACCAGTTCATCCTAGCACGTTAACTGAGGAGATGTGTGCTTCTCAAATTTTAGGGTGCAAAAGCATCACCTGGAGAGCTGATTAAAACAGATTCATGGACACCTCCCCAGAGATTTGGATTCAGTTGGTCTGGGGTGGGGCCCAAAAACTTGCATTTCTAACAAGCTCTTAGTCCTTGCTGATCCAGAATTACACTTGCAGTAGCCCTGTCCTACAGGATAGTTTAAATATTTGAGACTTATTAAAGGAGTTATTTAATAATAAATGTAAAGTACTTAGAGCTATGCCTGGCATATGATAATCACTTAACAGATGTTGAGTTTCAACATTTGCTATTTTGTGGTTTGTCTGGGTTGGAGAGCAGAACCTTTATGTAATTCCTTTAATTGGTAAGGCTTTAAGCAAGCATTTTCTTGTTTTCCCCAGCTATCATTCCCAGGTTTGTGAAAATAATCAGATATTTTAGTATAATACTGTTGTTATTTTTTCTATTATACCTCTTTTCATAGCCTTTCATTTATTATTACATTATATGTTGTTATACATGACAAATTATTTTAAAATTGAACTATAAGATTTTCTGATTTAAAAATGGCTTATCACTTTTGTATCCTACATGTTCCCTTTTCTTCAGCTGTTTTTTTCAGAAGAACTTTTATTTGGTTTCAGTTTCTCCAACAGTTATTTTTTTCAAATGTTGTATAATTGTTATACATTCTGCATCCTTGCATGTCTAAAACAGTTTTCCATTTGCCTTTGTTAAATAAAATTTACAGGAGGCTATTGATTTAGACTGAGCTCCTGCATTGTGCCCTAATAGATCAAACCAAAATGGAGTTGTCAGAGGCATTTAAACCAGAGTGACTCCATCTTGTATAGAGGTTGGGTAAAATAAGGATGGAACTTACTGAGCTGCATTCCCAGGAGGTTAAGGCATTCTTAGTCACAGCATGAGATAAGAGGTTGGCAGGAGATACAGGTCATAAAGACCTGGCAGATAAAATAGGTTACAGTAAAGAAGCTGGTCAAAACTCACCAAAACCAAGATGGCAAGGAGTGTGACTTCTGGGCATCCTCACAGCTCATTATATGCTAATTATAATTCATTAGCATGCTGAAAGACACTCCCACTAGTGCCATGAAAGTTTACAAACGTCATGGCAATGTCAGGAAATTACACTATTTGGTCTAAAAAGGGGATGAACCCGTAGTTCCAGGAATTGTCCACTCCTTTCCCAGAAAACTCATGAATAATCCATCCCTTGCTTAGCATATAATCAAGAAATAACCATAAAAATGGGCAACCAGTAGCCCTCTCTGAAGGTTTGCTGAAAATCAACTCACAAGGCAGATCAATAGGAGAAAAGGCATGCAAAAGTTATTTTAACGTGTATAGCCTGGGGGAACTGCAGGAGAATGATTACCCAATAACCCAATGGGACACAGAAACTTATATACCCTTTTCATAGGAGGGGAGGGAGATGGGGAATGTAGACAATTCTTTTGAGGGGTAGCAAATGATTATTAGGGGAAGCAAATGGACAGAACTTAACTTGTAAATGATTCTTTTTGGAATTTGAATGAACCTGAGAGATTGTTATTTTCTTATGAAAAAGTCCTTCCAGGTGAGGTTGCATTCCTGTCTCCTTTTTTTGTGATCTGTAATGAGATTTCAGGAAGGAGAAGAAAGGCAATTGCATTGTTTTTGGAAAGAAGCTTTCCGGGACAGATAAGAAAATCCCAGAGACAGCCCCTTCCTGCAATGCAGGTGTGTGTCTGGGGGTAAGACAAGGTTGGAGGGACCTTGATTCTGAGGCAGCTTCTAGGCCACTCAGCATATCAAAGTGCCAGTCTTTGGGGCAACACTTCCTGACCCCCAATACTTGATTCATGAATTGTTCTTTGCTAAAATAAATTCTATTAAATTTATTTTGCCTAAAGCTTTTATTTTAAAATAATTTTTCTATATGCCACAGGTTTGGTTGGCTATACAATTCCTGGGTTTCAATAGTTATGCTTTAAGAAACTCTAAACAGGCTGGGATCGGTGGCTCACTCCTGTAATCCCAGCACTTTGGGAGGCCGAGGTGGGTGGATCACCCGAGTTCAGGAGTTCTAGACCAGCCTGGCCAACATGGTGAAACACCGTCTCTACTAAAAATAAAAAAATTAGCTGGGTGTGGTGGCAGGCACCTGTAATCCCAGCTACTCAGGGGGCCAAGGCAGGAGAATCACTTGAACCCAGGACACAGAGGTTGCAGTGAGCTGAGATCGCACCATTGCACTACAGCCTAGGGGACAAGAGGGAGACTTTGTCAAAAAAAAAAAAGAAGAAGAAGAAAGAAACTCTAAACATTATTTCACTGTTTTCTAGTTCCAGTGTAGCAAAAATGAGATTTGCTTTTATTTCTGCTCTTTTTTATTTTGGGGTATAGCTTCCACCCCACTTCTGCTTTTTAATCTAAACTCCTATGAGTATTGGAGCTATCAGATCAATTCTCCATGTTTCCTATCTTTTTCATGATAATTTTTACTTCTCATTAATTTTACGTGAATTTCAATCAAATTCATTCTGTGAATTTCTAACTCATCATTTGGTATTCAGTGTTATCTATTTTGTTACTCCATTTCTCCACAGAGTTATTTTTAAAACCATTTTAAGATTTCCCCTATATTGTTTTAAAATTGATCTCTTTTTTTTTGAGAATATGCTCTTTTAAAAATCATTGAGTCTCTCTACAATGATAATGCATATTTTCAAGTTTTCTTCTCTTTCTTGCATTTAATCTGTTTCAGTCTAGGAATATTTGCTCCGGTCCCTTGCATTGATATGTCAACGGAAAGAAGAAAAAAAATCGAGGCAAACAATGTAAGTAGAGAGTTCATTTGGACTAAGCTTGAACACTGCAACGCAAGAGCGTAGATGCAAGTTAACCTGAATATACACCCCTATGAGCAGCAGTTACAAGTGGGTTTTAAAGGAAACAAAGAGGCAGTTCCCAAGTTGTTTACCAAGAATTTACATTAAAATAACATAAGCTATTGATTGGTTATACACTGTTCTTTGTATCACAAACTCCAGGAACATGAAGATAATGGGCAAAGCAGCTAGTCAGGAACAAAATGTCTTTAAACAGTTGGCCCTGGGTATGGGTGTGAGAGGTGTGATTGAGGTCCCATAACCATACTCATGTCTCTCTGGGCCTGACAAATTTTGTATGCTTCACATAACTTAGATGGCTCTGAGCAATTTTTTTTCTCATTTCCCACCTGTTGATCAAAAATCTTTCCATGGAAACATTAATGATCAATTTCTGCTTAGGTTAGAGTGATCAATATCCTTCCTCCTTCAGTTTGAGAAGGCTCATGATGGTGCTGTCTCACATGGGAAGGAGAGGTGAGGAAATGTTACAATGAGGAATTTTAAGACTGTCAAAAGCCAAATTGAGATGGCATCACAGGTGGCAAAAATGGCACCTCAGTCAAGTATGTAGTTGCTGTTGCTTGTTGAATCATTGTTAGTCTTCAGAATATCATGAGTTTAGTCTTTGTGGAAGAAGTAAAACAAGAGATATATGTAATGCATATAGGAATTATAATCAAAAAAAGAATTTGTATATCAGAACAACAACAACAAAACCTATTCTACTGGGGAGTCAACTAAAAATATCATGAAGGAAATTAAATCCAATTTCTTCTTTGGAGGATTGTTAGAGCTGGGACATTATTCAGAATTCAGTCCAAATTGTAGACAAATAGTAAAAACTAAAAAACAACTAAAAAACAATGGTCAGGGCTAGAATCTTATAAGAAGGATGGTATAGTTTCCTTCTAAAACAATTTTTTTCTCTCCCCAGTTCCCCATTCCTACCAAATATAAATGTTAGTAGGACAAATTTATTGGCTAAATAAGTTTTAGTATTATACTTGGCCTGATTATTTGCAAAATGTGCAACAAGAAGAATGATTGGCCATATAGGCTCTTTTCCATTGACTTTGCAGAATTTTTAATAAGAAATCTCAGATTACACTTTTAAAACCTCTAAAGACTAGTAAGCCAAGCCAGGGATTCACTGTGGGACTGCTTGTAACATATGTAAAAATTGAGTGAATTCCTATCTTCTCAATGACCCAAAATATCTTGTGGTTCCTGGGTGCATCAGAAAATGACAGTCTTTACTTACCGCAAGCTGAGGAACCTTGTAAGAGAACCGTGTGGGCAAGGCATGAGGCCAGTCTTTCCCATGTCTATTGGCTTTATAAAGTCAGCCTCAATTCCTCAAAGCAGTTTGGTCACATTCAAAAATGTAACATTCCAGCCAAAGCCTTGGTAAAATAACCGGTGTATCCAATGTGTTCTGTTACAAAAGAAAACAGATTCTTATTGATCTTATGCAAATAACTATATTGCCACAAAATACAAATACTCATGAATAGTTTCCAAATTTTAGAGAAATCAGGTAGGGAGAAATGCAGATGTTTTAATTTTGCTCACAAAAGGTTACCCAGTTGCTGTAAGCTATAATTAGCTAAAAAGAGACATTTTCTTGACTCTGGAAAACAAAACATAAAATAATCAGCAATGTTTCAAAGAGAAAAGTTAAAGAAAGCATTTCCACCCTCTGTCAGGCTAGCCCCATGTATTTAATTATTATTCAGCTGGATGTTAGGTTAGTAATATTCATGAATGCATTCATTTTTTAAATTAGAGTTCTGAAAGTTTTCACTCAGTCCAATGATATGATGGGTGGAATCTAGCCACTGGGAGTATTTCCTTTCTGTGTGTGCTGCCAGTAGATGGAAGTGCAACAAAAGCCTGGCTGCCTCCCCGCACCCCCAGCAGAGCTGCCTACCTGCACCCCCAGGAGAGCTGCCTCCCTGCACTCCCGGCAGAGCTGCCCGGGCTTCTGAGTGTAAAAATAAAATAGAGGTTCCTCTTCAAAGAGACTTTCCTCCCCGTCTAATTAGGAATAAATAGTAACTTCTCTCAGAAACAAAATTTATTCAAAGACCTGTGCTAACATTCTTAGATATCTGCTAGCTATAATAAAGAAATCAATGTACTTTGTGTTCTTAGCTCCCACAATTTAGCCTAAATATTTGCCCTGGCATGCTTACACTGGTCCAAGCAAGTATTAAGTCATAGTCTGTTCCTCTTCCTTATTTGGAGGTGTTTTTACCTTTCTCAGCATTCCACAAGTTACTTCCTCCTTTGTTCTCCTCTGCCTTTGCCTCTTTTAAAAAGTTCTAAGTTGCTGGCTAATCAGGACAAATACAGAATGTGAGGTGCAGGGAGCTGAAGGCCCCTGGGAAGTGACCAACTCAGCATTTCGCTGGAGGCTATAGGATCAAACAGCAAACTGTTTATCATGAATGCAGGATGTGGGCAAACTCACACTGCCCTGCCACCAAAAGGTTTGTTGAGGGCCTCACTCCCTGGCGCTGGGCTCCTTGAAGTTATCTATTGAGAAGTCTAGCACCTAAGAATGCAGTCTTGCAAGCCTGCTGCGAATCAAGCTGCTGGCCAACAACCACTCCCCACCTTCTCACTATCTCTATTGCCTAATAAATATGGAGGGCAGTGTAAAGCTCAGGGCCCTTGTCCACTAGAGACAAGGTGCCCTCCGACCCCTTCTTCCAAATATACTCTTTTGCCTCTTGTCTTTTATTCCCGTGTTTGCCCCCTTTGTTCAGTCCCCCTAGGTCCATGCAGGTTACATAGTGGTGCCCCAAACAGTGACACAATTGGGTTCTCAACAAGTGGTGACTCAGAACAGGGACGCCAAGGATGCCAACAAGTGGCGTCTGAACACGGGACTTCGACGATGTGAACAAAAAAGATCTGCTGGAGCAGAGAAGCTGAAATTGACAAGGCAAACGGGGACCCCAGGATGAGTCTGCCGGCAGCATATATAAGGTCAGTGCTCTAAAGAGGTACTGGGAGCAGTGCTTTATAGAAGTGCTGGGAATGGGAAGCTTTCTGAATCAGGGTAGCAGGGGGAATAACTTGTCTGTTGAAGAAAAACATTATGTGCAGTTGCTTAAAGTTCTGTTGAGACAGTCTGGAGCTCAGGTTAATTCTCAGACACTAACCTCCTGCAGAAGCCACACAAAGTTATTATGCATAACTCATGGTTTCCACAGGCAGGCACTCTTGATGTGGAAAACTGGGATAGAGCAGGAGAAGGATTAAAACAGGCTCATCAAAAAGGTCTTGAAGTTGATTCTTCTGTTTTCTCCACTTGGAGTTTAGTTTGTACTGTACTTCTGCTATTATCTCATTATTCTGCGGGACAGCAGGCTGAATCTAAAAATCTAAAAGAATCTGTTGTCCCACCCACAGCTCCAACTGAAAATAAAAAACAGGAGAGGGAGGATAAAAGTTGGCCTATACTGCCTCCTCCAGTTGCAGAAACATTTGTACCGCCTCCTTTGGTGGCAGAAATAGAG
The DNA here is from genome assembly GCF_000001405.40 of Homo sapiens. Lineage (NCBI taxonomy): Eukaryota > Metazoa > Chordata > Mammalia > Primates > Hominidae > Homo > Homo sapiens. The sequence goes on along the minus strand of NW_011332695.1, from coordinate 136,063 downwards.
ACTCCAATACAAAGAATTTTATGCTCTGCTGCAATAGCTGGAGAGCCCTTAGGACCTCACGCTTTTCCTATTTCCATAAGGCCTAATCCTAACAATGCACAGCAGGTTATTCATGAACACACTCCACTAGATTTTAACTTGTTAAAGGAATTAAAAGCGAGTGTGGTAAACAATGGCGTACAGAACCCATTCACCTTAGGATTGCTAGAATCTGTGTTTGGTGCTATGCGTCTTTTACCATTTGATGTGAAACACTTGGCGTGAATTTGCTTGTCGGCTACTGCATATCTGACATGGAATTTAAATTGGCAAGAAATGTGTGCAGACCAGGCTAGACAGAACTGTGCTGCTGGAAATGGAGACATTACAGAGGATATGCTATTAGGTAATGGCCCTTATTCAGACCTGGAACCTCAAATGGGACTCCCAGATGTTGCTTATCAGCAGTGTGCACAGGCCACTAAATGCACCTGGGCCACTATTCCTGAAGGAGTCCCAGTACAATCCTTTTTATGTATCATACAAGGGTTGCAGGAACCCTATGTGCAATTTCTTGCATGATTACAAGAGGCAGTGAAGTGTCAGATTTCTCATACTGCGGCTGCAGAAATGCTAACCTTAACACTAGCTTTTGAGGATGCAAACACGGATTGTAAATGTGCACTGGCACTGGTGAGGTGTACAAAAAACTTGGGAAATTTTCTCAGAGCTTGTCAAGATGTAGGAACTGAGCTTCATCACTCTGCAATGTTAGCACAAGCAATAGCTAATTTATCAGTTGACAAATCTAAAAGGAGCCAAGGGTCAAACCCCAAAACGGGAAAATATTATAAATGTGGAAAAACTGGACATTTTAAAAAGGAATGCTGCCAGATCTCAGGACAGAAAGGACCTTACAATGCAGTGCCCCACCCAGCAGAATAAACACCAGGATTCTGTCCTCACTGTATGAAAGGAAATCACTGGGCTAATCAGTGCCACTCAAAATTTCATCAGAATGGCACCCCCCTGCTGGGAAACGAGATGGGGGCCTGGACCCAGGCCCCACAAACAATAAGGGCATTCCCAGTCCAGACCTCAACCCCATTTCAGAGGTCAGTTCCCAGAGGCACATTGATCCCCTCACCCCAGGAACACCAGGAAGTGCAGGATTAGATCTACCCGCCAGAGAAAGAATCACTTTAGTTGGTGGAGACAAACCTATGAAAGTTCCCACTGGCATTTGGGGACCTTTACCAGCAGGATATATGAGACTAATTTTAGCCAAAAGCTGCCTTAACTTGCAAGGCATTACTGTAGTGACTGGCTCTGATTATGAAGGAGAAATTCAAGTAGTTTTAATGTCACAAGATCTTTGGGTTTTTGAACCAGGAGAATATATTGCTCAATTATTGCTTATTCCCTGCAAATTACACCCTTCTCCATGAAAGGAGAAATGAGGAAATAAAGGGTTTGGGAGCACAACTACTTGGGAAATCTATCTATCCCAACCCATAGCCTCTAATAGAGCCACCTGTGTAGTACAAATTAAAGGACAGACATTTTATGGGCTTATGGATATGGGAGCTGATGTTTCAGTAATATGTAAAGACAATTGGCCCCCCATCCTGGCCCTTGCAATTAACTTCTATGTCCCTAATGGGAGTAGGAACAGCTCAAAGTGTTCAACAGTATGCTGAAATTTTATCTTGTCTTGGTGTGGATGGACAGTCATGTACTTTTCAGCCTCATGTTGCAAGTATAGCCATCAAATTATGGGGTTGAGACTTACAGCATGGGATATGAGACTTACAAATGAAACTTTTGATAACCCAGAACTTAAAATGTTAAAGAACATGGGATATCAGCAGGGAAAACCTTTAGGAAAATTTCTTCAGGGAAATCCTAACCCAATAGCAGTAACTGGAAAAACAGATAGCTAAGGGCTAGGACGTCAGGATTTCTGATGGAGGTCATTGATATTTCTCCTCTGCCCACTGCCTTACCATTAGAATGGCTCAGTGACAAACCCATGTGGGTGGATCAATGGCCCCTATCTCAGGAGAAGCCGACACAACTTCAACAGCCAGTAAAAGATCAGTGGGATGCTGGACACATAGAGGAGTCAGTTAGCTCCTGGAATTCTCCAGTGTTTGTTATTCTAAAAAAGTCCAGAAGATGGTGACTGCTACAAGATTTAAGAGCTATTAATACACATATAAAATGGATGGATGCCTTACAAAAAGGTATACCATCTTCAGTGGCTATTCCAAGAGTCTGGCCTCTTGTATTAATAGATCTTAAGGATTGTTTCTTTACTATATTCTTACATGAGAAGGATAAGCCTTGATTCGCCTTCTCTGTGCCTTCTATTAACCAAAGAGAACCTGTTTCTTGTTATCAATGGAGAGTTTTACCCCCAAGTCATGCTATGTCAACATTTTGTAGGACAGGCATTAAAGGAGTCTCGGAATATGTTTCCTACTGCTTACATCATTCATTTTATGGATGATATTCTTTTGGCCCCTCCTATAGATCAAATCCTACAGCAGTTATTCAGAGAAACGAAGCAAGCTTTGACTAAATGGAATCTCAAAATAGCTCTGAAAAAGGTACAAACAACTTCCCCATACCAATACTTAGGAATTATTGTTATGGAGAGAAGTGTACGGCCTCAGAAAGTAGTTCTCTGTAAAGACAGGTTACAGACTTTAAATGATTTTCTACAATTATTAGGAGATATTAATTGGCTACAGCCAATGTTAGGTATTGCTACCTATCAACTTACACATCTTTACCAAACCCTGCAAGGAGATTCTACTTTAAATTCCCCATGGCAACTAACTAAAGAGGCAGAAGCCGAATTACGGCTTGTAGAGAAAATGTTACAGCAGAGACATGCCTCACAGCTACAACTGCAAAAACCTTTGCTTTTGTTTATTCCTCCTACCCCCCACTCTCCAACAGGACTATTGGGCCAGTTCATAGACAAGTCTGCAACAGTAATAGAATGGCTCTTTCTACCTAATCAAACAGTCAAAACCTTGCAAGTTTATCTTTCTTTAATTACACAAATTGTGACTATGGGCAGGCATAGGTCAAAAATGCTTATGGGATATGACCCTGACAAAATTATTGTTCCTTTAGACTCCCAGCAACAAGCCACAGCTTGGGAAATGTCAACTGCCTGGCAAATTGCTTTTGCAGATTTCATGGGTGCTATAGATAATCACTACCCCTCAGACAAAATTTTACAGTTTTATAAAATCCATTCTTTCATTCTTTCTGTGATTACTCATCACAAGCCTATTGCAGGTGGACAGACTTACTTTACTGATGGCTCTTCCAGAGGTCATGCTGCTATCTATGGACGTAAACATACTCAAATAATAATGACATCTGGGGCTTCAGCTCAAGGCTCAGAGCTAATTGCAGTCATTCAGGTTTTACAGCTCGCAGCTTCAGATCCTATCAACATTGTCTGTGATTCAGCTTATGTTGTAAATGTAACCAGTCACATAGAAACTGCTACAATTAAAAGTACACTAGACCCAGAACTGTTTAATTTATTTTTAAGACATCATGTTCACACATATAAGTGGGAGCCAAACATTGAGTACACATGGACACAAAGGAACAGCAGACACTGGGGCGTGCTTGAGGATAGAGGGAGGGAAGAGGATGAGGATCCAAAAATTACCTATCAGTTTCTATGCTTATTATGTGGGTGGCAAAATAATCTGTACACCAAACTTCTGTGACATGCAATTTATTTATATAACAAACCTACATATGTTCACCGAACCTAAAAGTTAAAAAAATAAAAATTTCTACCAACATCTAATGTGAAAAACAAAACAAAACAAAACAAAAAAAGACTTCAGCGAGTTACTCGTTCTCATGCAGATCCTTTTCATATTTCTGATATTTGTTCTCATACACAACTTCCAGGACCATTATCCCTAGGGAATGATAAAGTAGATATAAATTGATTTGTTCTGTGTTTCAGCAAGCTCAAGCATCTCATGCGCTTCTGCATCAAAATACTTCCACCCTTACTTGCGTGTTCCATTTATCTTGCAGCCAAGCTAGGGCTATAATACAAGCCTGTCCTACTTGTCAGCATGTCCCTGGAGCCACACCTGTAGAAGGCTGTAACTCATGAGGTTTGGCTCCAAATGAAGTTTGGCAAATGGATGTTACACAATAGTTACCTTTGGTAAGCTTAGCTATGTTCATGTGACTATAGATGCTGCATGCTACATGCCAAGCAGGTGAGACAGCTGGTCATGTATGGCGACATTGTCATCATTTGCTCATATGGGGATACTTAAACAATTAAAAACTGATAATGGAACCGCTTATACTAGTCATGCTTTTCAAAATTTCTTACAGCTTTGGGCTATAACCCATAAAACAGGAATTCCTTATGATGCTAGAGGACAAGTCATTATAGAATGGGCCCATCAAACATTACAATGCATGTTGAAAAAACAAAAAGGGGGTATAGGAGGCCAACTACCACCTCAATCGAAACTACCTTTAGCCTTAGTTACTTTAAGTTTTTTTTTTTTTTTAGATGGGGTCTTGCTCTGTCATCCAGGCTGGAGTGCAGTGGCACGATCTCTGCTCACTGCAAGCTCTGCCCCCTGGGTCCATGCCATTCTCCTGTCTCAGCCACCTGAGTAGCTGGGACTACAGGTGCCCGCCACCACGCCTGACTAATATTTTTGTATTTTTAGTAGAGATGGGGTTTCACCGTGTTTGCCAGGATGGTCTTGATCTCCTGACCTTGTGATCTGCCCGCCTTGGCCTCCCAAAGTGCTGGGATTACAGGCGTGAGCCACCGCGCCCGGCCTCTACTTTAAATTTTTTGACTCCTAGTATGGATGGTAAGACTCCAGTAGAAAGACATTGGCAAATGTTAAAGGAAAAGAGGAAAGTTTATCCAAAAGTGTTATGGAAATCCCCGGAAGAAGGACAATGTAAAGGTTCGGTGGATTTACTGACGTGGGGAAGAGGATATACTTGTGTTTTTACAGATGGACAAACCCTGTGGGTGCCCTCAAGACATGTGTGACCATGGAATGGGAGACTGGAGGAACCCAGGGTGGCCAACCATGAGCCCGGTCCTTCTGGTACGAACCATGAGACAGCTGAGCCTGAGTGTAAAGACAGACAGAATGCCGGCCAGAGTCACAACACTGTTCTAATGCTATGTTTTCTGTAAAATTGGATGGACCACCAATCAGAGAATGAGAGCTACCCAGTCTGGCCTTACATTCTTTCAATTAATACATAAACAAAAAGTGGGATATGCAGGGAGCCGAAAGCCTGTGGGACATGACCAACTTAGTATTCTGCTGGAGGCTATATGATCAAACGGCAAACTGTTTATCATGAATGCAGGATGTGGCCAAACTCACACTGCCCTGCTACCAAAACGTTTGCTGAGGGCCTCACTCCATGGTGCCAGGCTCCTTGAAGTTATCTATTGAGAGATCTAGCTCCTATTGTTCTAAGAATGCAGTCTTGCCAGCCTGCTGTGAATAAAATGCCAGCCAACAACCACTCCCCTCCTTCTTGCTATCTCTATTGCCTAATAAATACGGAGGGCTGTGTAAAGCTCAGGGCCCTTGTCCACTAGAGGCAAGGTGCCCTCTGACCCCTTCTTCCAAATATACTCTTTCATCTCTTGTGTTTTATTCCCACATTTGCCCCCTTTGTTCAGTCCCCCTAGGTCCATGTGGGTTACAGTGAGGTCCCATTCCAGCCAATGGAAACCAGACACAGCAGTAGGGTGGATGCGTCAGGTTATAAATAACCCTGTCTCCTTTGTTCGGTGTACTCTTGTGGCAAAACTGCTGGTGAATGTACCCTTTCTGTAGAGAATAAAAATGGCCTTGCTGAGAAAATTAAATGTATGTTCAAGTGCTATTTCTTTGTGGCACCAGGGAACAAGCATTTCAAACATGAGTGACAGTCAAGTCTCACTTTTAGTCATGTTCTGCATTATGGGCTGAACTGTGTCCCCTGACATTCATATGTTGAAGTCCTGACTTTCAGAATGTGACTATATTTAGAGCTAGCACCTTTAAAGTGGTAATTAAGATAAAATAAGGTCACTAGGGCTGGCCTTAATCCAAAAAATCTGGTATCCTCATAAGAAGAGGAGATTAGAATGCAGACATTACACAGACTGAAGGACGGCCACGTAAGGACACAGTGAGAAGATGGCCATCTGCTAGCCGAGAAAAGTAGCTCATAGCAGTTTGAAGAATGGGATGTATGCAAAGTTTATCAGGCCCAGACAGACATGAGTGAGTCTTCAGTCATGCCCCTCACACCCATGTCAGGAATTAATCATTTAAAGGCAAGGTTATCATCAATAGCAATAAATGTCTTTGCCACACTGCTATTAATTGCAGATGAGGAAATGGGGTCACTCAAGTAAATTCTTCAGGGCCACATTTTTTTTTTTTTTTTTTTTTTTGAGATGGAGTCTCGCTCTGTTGCCCAGGCTGGAGTGCAGTGGTGCAATCTTGGCTCACTGCAAGCTCTGCCTCCTGGGTTCATGCCATTCTCCTGCCTCAGCCTCCCCAGTACCTGGGACTACAGGTGCCCACCACCATGCCCAGCTAATTTTTTTGTATTTTCAGTAGAGACAGGGTTTCACCGTGTTAGCCAGGATGGTCTCGATCTCCTGACCTCATGATCCACCTGCCTCGGCCTCCCAAAGTGCTGGGATTACAGGCGTGAGCCACCACACCTGGCCCAGGACCACATAATTTATTAATGGTATGTGAAACTTATTGTCTGTCATAATTATTTCCAAAGAATATAATAAAAAACCTATACTTTGTTTGAATGTCTCATGTGGTAAAAAGCCAGCAAAGATGTCTCAAATGCTTATCCTAATGAAATGTAACCAGAATGGAGGATTAACAAGGTGGCTCCCAAGAACTTGTTAAGAAGGGAAAGACTGTCATTTGGGAGTTTAACTAATTAAATCCATACTTTGTGGATTAATAACTTGACCATAGATTATACATTGGTGTGATTTTCATTGCCACTGACCTAACATCTCTATCAAAGCCCCCCACCCTTCCCTGTGCCTACGATTACACTCTGTAGGTCACGTCTTTATTTTTATTTTGAAAATATAGCATACATACAAAAAAGTATATGAAAACATGTATGTATAACTTAAGGAGCAATAATTAATATTCATGTACCTACTAATGGACCAAGTGTTTGAACTTTACATACCCCAGAATCTCTGGATATATTCTTGCTGGATTGCATGCCAATCATTCATTTCCAGAAGAAATTACTATCCAGAACTTATGTTAATAACTCCCTTAGTTTTCTTTATTGTTTTTACCACCTAGTAACATGTCCCTAAATAATAGAGTGCTTAGTTTTGCCTGTTTTTAATCTTTATATAAAGGCATTTATTCTGCATATGCTCTTCCTTGGCTTGTTTTTTAGTTTAGCATTGTTTTTGAAATTCATCCATATGGATGTAGGTAGCTGTAGTTTAATTTTCATTGCTTTGTAGTATTCCATTTTATGAATGTACCATAACTTATTAATAAATTCTACCTTGAGGGAAAAAAAATTAAGGCAGGGTTATATGCTCATCAATGAAATAACCCCAGAGGAGTGATTGATAATGCCACCACAAGTTGAACAATGTGACCCCGACCCATTATCTTCATGTTTCTGGAATTTGTGATGCAAAGAACAATGTATAGTCAATTAGTAGCTTATAGTATTTTAACACAAATTTTTAGTAAACAACTTAGGAACTGCCCCTTCTTCTTTCCTTTAAAAACCCATGTATAGTCAAGCATGGTGGCTCATGCCTGTAATCCCAGCACTTTGGGAGGCCAAAGTGGGAGGATCCCTTCAGGCCAAGAGTTTGAGATGAGACTGGGTAACATAGGGAGACCTCGTTTCCACAAAAACAAACAAGAAGCAAACCAACAAAAAACTCCACATTTGAATGCTGTTAGCCAGAACACATATACAAGGCAACTTGAATCTGTGTTTTCTGGGTTACAGTCCTCAAACTTGGCCCCAAATAAACTCTCTGCTTATATTTACTTTGCCTCAGTTTCTTCCTTTAGGTCAACAAAGCCAATGAAAAAGGCCTCAGGAGAAACAAAATCTATTGATACTTTAATCTTGGGCTTCTAGCATCCAGAACTATGAGAAATAAATTTCTGTTTAAGCCACCAGTCTGTGATATTTTGCTATGACAGCCATAGCAAACTAATTTAGCCTGTGACATGTGAAGGCTGGGGTTAAATTCTGCAGCCAACTTCTTCACATAAGGAGCCTTTTGGGTTTCTGAAGTCCCTTGATTTGCTCACTGCTAACAGCTAACAGGCGTGTCCTTTCCCTTGCATAGTTACAACTGGCCATGCTCCCAGTATCTATTTTCTTTTTCTTTTTTTTTTGAGACAGAGTCTGACCCTGTTGCCCAGGCTGGAGTGCAGTGGCACCATCCCAGCTCACTGCAGCCTTGACCTCCCAGGCTCAAGCAATCCTCCTCCTGCATAGCTGGAACTACAGGCATGCATCACCACACCCAGTTGATTTTTTAATTTTTTGTAGAGACAGAGTCTCTCTATGTTGCCCAAGTTGGTCTTGAACTCCTGGGCTCAAGCAGTCCTCCCACCTTGGCTTCCTAAAGTGCTAGTATTATAGGTATGAGCCACCATGCCCAGCCCTAATGCCTATTACTATACTTTTATATCTTCTTGGGAAAAGGGGCATCTGAAAGAGGTCAGAATTAATTAAGTGAAGGCATTACTTGACATTTCTTCACTGGGCTGTTTCCACCTATTTCCCAACTCAAATTACATATAGACACATTATTCAAACTAACTCACCAAAAGCTTGTGCAATAAGGACAACAGCACAATGTAGCCCAAATAATACAGTGCAGAAATAGAGAAATTCCTTCAATTTAAATAACAGGAATGCTTTGATTGAGATGGCCTTCAACATTCCCCTCAGCTTAAGTAAAATTAAGACAGGTGTTTTTTTTTTTTTTTTTCCTGACTCTAGGTCCCTGACCTCCCTTTTCTTAAATCACTGGAGAAAACTTGTAATTGCAAATTTTTTCTCTGCCTCCTTTGAAATGTATGTAAATCTGCTTAGAAGCCTCTTACTAGTTTTAAATGTAAACATCAAAAGAAATAGCTCCTTATCTTCCAGTCTCCATGGGAGGGTAGGAGCCTAACTTCAGTAGACATTTTGCTCCAAGTTATACAAGTACCTCCTGTTATAAGCAGAGAAAGTTTGCTTTGGGTTCAGCCAATTAGTGAACACCACTGTCTTATGATTCCCTCTACTCCAGCTGTTAAACTCTCGCCAGGCTTTTGTTTCAGCTGAGTTGAGTTTAATCTCTGTCCCTTGTTGCAATAGTCTTGAATAAAGTATCTCTTCCTGTTCAACTTTGCCCAGTGCAACTTTTATTTTGACAGCTCTTTCAATATCAATTCATATAGAATGAAAACTCTAGGGACCCAAACTACCAAACCCATATAACTTACCATCTACATTAAGATGACTTTATCATTTCACTGTTTTCATTAACATAACTTTGCTATTTCAGGAGACTCCTGACCAGGCTCAAGGCAAATAACTTGGTTGTTCATTACAGTAATGAACTGTTGAGAAGACCTAGCAAGTCTTTAGTGGGGATCATCAACAGAAAATTTACACACAAACTCTCCCAACCCCTCCTTTTAAAAATGACACATACCATGGTGAGTGTTTGAGTATTCTGGAATCTGCCAGTCACTCAAGGTCTGATCCAAGAAACTGGAGCAATGTGACTTCCACAGTATTCTGTTGATCAGGCAGGATGGAGTTCTTTTTTGTTAAAGGTTTTTCTAAGGTTTTAACAAAGGGTCTTACAAACCACTCCCTGAATTTGATCTTTGCCCCCAAACCATTTCTTTCTTTCAAAATCATTCACTGGAAGAGACTGGGAATGACGGACATATTTATTTTGAATATAGCAAGTTCCGGATCCTTTACATTTTCTCCATATTCTGTTAAAAAACTGAATAGTTTGTTCTTTAGCTTATTTTTCTCTACTAGTATTTTATTATATGCAGCTAAAAGAAATCAGCTCTTATGATATTCTGCCTGGGAATATCCTTAGTCAGATCTGCCATTTTATTGATATATTTTTTTATTTTCTACATTGCTGCAGTGATGATTTTGTTAACTGTTTGGCCAAGGCATCTTTTGGGTGTTCTTTAATCCAGCATCTGATAACATTTTCCTCACTGTCTGCAAGTTCTATATCAACCGTCTCCTTGAAGCTCTTCAAACTTTCATCAGCAATATCCTCAAGATGCTTGCTGATTCTGTCCTTTCTCCCATCCCAAAGCCAATGTCTACTTTTAGTTTTTTCTTATGGTTGCATTGTTGACGTGACATTTGAATTAAGTAGTGAAGGATGAGTGTTATTTGTATAGAGACTATATTTGGTGCATGTCTCTCTTTCTTTCTCTGTGTGCGTGTGTGTGTGTGTGTGTGTATGTGTGTGTGTGTGTTGGGCTGTTACTTTCTAGCAGTTTCTGCCAAGACACTGTGAGAGTGAGAATGGCCAGTTTGAGGAAAAAAAGCCATTTAATCTTTAACCAACAATGTTTGTTGAATGATTTTTATGTACTAGGCACTGTGCCAGGTGCTGGGAACACAAAGATAAGCAAGATAGTCTAATGAGAGAGAGGATTATTAGATAAATACATAACGAAACATAATTATAATTGTGATAACTGTTATAAAGAAAAAACACAAAATACCTTGAGATTATAATAGGAAGAACTTATCTAACCTGGAGGGGTGGCAGGGAGAGGAGTGGTGCTGAGGACAGAGAAGGCCTCCCTGAGAAAGTAACACTTAAATGGAGTCTTAAAGGATGATGGGAGTTAGCCAGGCCCAGCTGTGGAGGAGGGAGCAGTTCATCTGGAAGGAATAAAGTGTTTGAAGGTATGAATATGAAGGAGCTTGATGCCACTTCAGGAACGGGAGAGGGCTGGAGAGGGAGAGGGAGGAGTAGGGTGGAGCGATAAGCTGAAGGCAGACTGTGCAAAGCCTTGTAGGTACAATAAGAACTTTGAACTTCACCTACTAGCAATAGGTGGCCAGGGAAAGGTTTAACACTGAGTAGTCACATGGCCAAATTTGTATTTTAAAACATCATTCTGGCTGCTGAGAAGATAATAGACAAGGCAGTGGCAATTGCTGTGGCCCAGCTGAGAGTAGGACTTTCACCTTAGCTTAGCTTGGACTAAGCCTTCCCTTCCAGTGTTCCTTACCTCGACAAATGGAACCCCCATCCACTCTCTGCTCCAACAAGAAAGGTGGGCTTATCCCTGACACCTCTGCAGTGGAAAGGCAGCAATGTGAAAGTTTATACCCATATTTAAGAAATCAAATTGACAGGACTTGGTAAGGATTATATGTGGGGAGAGGGTAGGAGAAAGGTGTCAGGGATAAGCCTACCTTTCTGGTTGGAGGAGAGAGTGGATGGGGGTTCCATTTGTTGAGATATGGATTGCTGGAAGAGAGGGCTTTTGGGGGTGAAATCCAGTTTTGAATGACTAAGGTGTCAGATGCCTGCATGAAATCAGTCAAATAGATAGCTGGGGTATATAGGTCAGGCTCAAAACGGAGGTCTGAATTGTGGGGACAGAGTTAGAAAGCAATACCTAGAGAGGGCTGCCTGATCCAGGGAGGATCTTCTTAAGCTGGAGAGATTGCAGAATGTTTGAAGTCCCATGAAAAAAATCCAATAGAGGAGAGAGATTGAATCAGTGTGGCACAGGCCCTGTGCTGATGTGGTTTGTATCTGAGGAAGAGACAGACACAAATGGATGTAGTATGTGCAAACCAGAGGGAAGAGTAGAGACCCATGATGTTACAGGGCTTCCAGAGACCAAGCAGTTCAAATTAAGAGACCAGGGGACAGGGTAGCAAGGACAAAGGAAGTGGATCTAAGAAGAAGCTTGAGGGTGAAGCCTCCAAGCCCTAGATGAATAAAAACTCCAGGAAATAGTTGGCGCTTTATGCCAAAAGATAGACTAAATTCTTACTGCCATCTAATGGCTACAGTGTGTAATTGCTATACTCTCACGGCTGAAAGTCCAGGGAATTAAACTTGCTTATGGTTTACCAACATTTATCTCTATAGGCATGGTGGCTCATGCCTATGATCCCAGCACTTTTGGAGGTTGAGGCAGGAGGATCTCTTGAGCCCAGGAGTTCCAGACCAGCTTGGGCAACATAGGGAGACCCCGTCCCTTAAAAAAATAGCCAGTATTTATTGAATACTCTATACCTTACTAAGTCCCTTACGTGTATGAACTCATTTAATCTTCACAACAATACCATTTGACAAAGGAGCTGAAAGATACTAAATAATTTGTCCAAATATTCAAAATTATTTTGTGACAGGGTAGGACTAGAACACAGATTTCTTGGACTTCAGAGTTTGTGCTTTTGACTAGTAGGTGTATTCTACTGTCTCTCATGTGATAAAAGAACAGGAACTGAAAGTACCCCCATGTTGGGCTTAAGTGCCCCAGGCATTGCGTTAGTGACTGTGCACTAAGATCTTGTCTCCAATATGTAGCTCAGGCTCAAACAGCCTTACAGAGGTGGCCAGATTGGGTAGACTGTATGCCTGGAATAATAGGTCTTAAGCAGAGATTGTGGGCAGAGTTGTTCAAATCAATACTGGATGTTCTTGGAGGTCTGACACACTGCCTGAGATCATCACGTGTCCTTGTGCAACTCTTTTGGCATCCAAAGAATCCATCCCATCAGCGTATGCAATTTGGGCATAAGATACAACCACTTCTGGGAAGTACATAAGGGCAATTCTTTTTAGAAAGTTCGTGTTTCCCCTATCTTTTGGCTTCTCAGACAGGCCTTTATAAAGGTGGGGAAAATCAGGCGTTTATTACGAATGAAAATTTGTTCAGTCTCTGTGATTATTGTTGCCAAATATTACCTGCTTTTTGCTAACATTGTAGCCTTTGCTAAAAAACTCTATGGACTGCTGATACTTGGTAGTTTATAGAATTTCAAGTCACTGTTTCAAAAGAAAATTGTAGTAAATCTATTTTTGGTGTTAGGGCCAGATGTCATTATAAGGATGTCTGGACAAGAGGCTGGAAGTCCTTGTAGGTCAGGATGGCCGAAAGTAGCAGAAATATGAAGAGCAGAGCACAGATGCTCCCACTTTCATAATTGTAAACTTGTCTCTTGGTCTATTGCTTTGCTTTGTGTTTCATTCAGATAAAGCTATTCAATGACCATCTTTTAGTGCGGTTTTGTTTAGAATAGTTGTCCTGAGAGTTGGTTTTGGGGCCTCTGGGAGACCCTGAGACACTTTTATGAGTACTGTGAGATCAAAATTATTTTCATAGTAATTTAAAAATATTATTTGCCTTTTATCTCTCATTTGCCCAAGAATGTACAGTAGTCTTCCAGAAGCTACATGATGCATTATATCACAACAGATTGAATGCAGAAACAGAATTCAGCTGTGTTCTAAGCCAGATATTAAAGAGATTTGCAAAAATGTAAAACAATAACATCCTTTTAAATATCTTTGATCAAAATTGTTATTTCTGTCAACATGTAACGGAGTTATTATTATTTTTGAATGAGTTAAATAAATGTTTTTAAATGTCTTAGTTTTAATATTGAATATAGTAAATATGAATTGCTATAATCTTCATAAACAAAAACTCTTTGGGGTTTTCTAGAAATTTTAGAAGTATAAAGGAGTCTTGAGACCAAAAAGTTTCAGAATGTTGGCTGGGAGAATTCACTATAGTCAATTTCTCAATGACTTTGAGAGGAAGGATGTATGTCCTGATTCCCCCCACCTCAGGAAACAAGAGGCAGCAGGAAATACATGTATTTACGGGTCCCTGGTCTCCTTGTGTCAAACATCGCTCTCTGCATGGTTGATCTGTTTCCTTGGTAACCTAACTGTAGCTGTCACCTGTGGCCTATTAACAGCCTCCCCTGGCCAGTTGGATTCTACAGGGCAATGACTGGGAATAATTAGGAAACTTGGTAAGGAAGTTTCCTCCAGCAGGAAATTGGTTCCTCTGGAACTTGTTAGGCATTAACTCTACAGCCAAGACCGTGAAAACATTTACTGAAATTAGCGATAGTGTGCAGATCCTGTGGGAGCACTTACTCAGGGCAAATACAGTCAGGAATCAGGGACTATGAGTTTATTCTTAAAGGCTTAGGTGTTAGCTTTAAGCTATAAGGGAGCAATTAGGTTAAAATGACTCCTGAGTTTCAAACGGAGTCACACTTTTAAGCTTCTCCCTGGGGTTTTAAACATTGGTCTAGAGCAGGGGTGTGAGATGTAATTAAAGTCTACTTTAAATCCAGATGTTTCCCTTCACGGAGCCCCTTTGCCACCACAGACTTCAGTAATAGTTACAAAATCTTGCTGAACCTAGAGAAGTTGACCAAACTTAAGACAGCCTCAGCCAAGTGTGAATTTTTGATAGCTTGATCAGTCTCAACTCAATAAAAAGCAATACATTTTTCCCTGGATAACATGTGGAAGCTTTAAGATTTGTCCAATATAAGCACATGAATCTGAAGTAAAAATAAAACAAAACAAATCTACAAGAAAAACACCGTCATGTTTTCCCTGAAGAAAAATAAAAGCCAAGGATTCGACAGAGTGAAAGGAAAGAACAAGGGGCCCAGCCCAGAGGTCTCTACCTCGGGTGGGTTCCCTGCAGCCCGTGGAACCCCAGGTCTGTGAGAGGCCAGCCCCTCACAGAGAGTGACACATCTGACAGATAAATGGCAGCGCCATCATCTCCTCCTCCTATCATTCAAATGCTCTGCAGATGACCTGAAATGGAAAGCAGTTTCAGTTTGACACAAAAGATCAACACATCACAGTAGGAAGAGCATGAGCAGAGAGGGAGAACATTTCAGTGTGAAAATTTTGTAACAAAAGAAGAAAAATATAGAAGCATGAAAATATAATGAATAATGATTTGAGTGTCTACTATGAGCTGGGCACTCTGCTGAGCTCTTTGTGCTTTCTCATTTAATGCTCTTAACAGCCCTGTAGCAGAGGCACTACTATTACCTTCATTTTACTCATGAAGAAACCTAGCTGGGAAGGCTCAAATGCATTGTCCAAAGCTAAGTGGCAGAAGAGGCAATAGACTACCTTTCCCTTTAACTCCAGGTTCTAAGTTTTGACCGTATCCCAGGCACAGCATGTCCCTTTTCTTCTTCATTCAACTCACACTTACCAAGGGGTCACTCCATGCTAGACTTGAAAATAAGGAACCAAAACAGACATTGTTCCTGCCCATATGGGGCTTATAGTAGACGGCAAAATACATACATAAAATAATTACATAAATCAGCGCATCATCACAAGCCAATAAGTGTTTGGAGGAATATGTAAAGCAAACCAATAAGACTATCTATCTATCTATCTATCTATCTATCTATCTATCTATCATCTATCTATTGATCTATCTACCTTGATCTAGGCTGGACAGGTTAAGAAATACATCTCCAAGAAAGTGATATTTACATTTAAATCTGAATTTTAAATAGGAATTAACCAGGGAGTTTGTAGAGAGTAGGTGGCAGAGAGAGCCATGGGCAGAAACAACAAAGCCTCTGTAGCAAAAAGAAATCTCAGACAAAGAACTCAAAGAAGTATGAGAAGTATTAATATCATAACTGAGGAGGTGTTAAGTTTAGACATATAGTGCTCACTTCGGGAGCACATGTACTAAAATTGGATACAGAGAAGATCAGCATGGCCCATGTGCAAGGATTGGATATAGAAAACTTTAATACTTCATTAAGGATGCAATTGAAAAATCTCTTGCTATATTTTGATTTTGATTTTTTGTTTGTTTTGAACTTTTTGGCTGTTTTTCTCATGTGAGAAATGTTTCATATATAGATGACAGAGGATAATGTAATACATTTCCATGTAACTACTACTAACTTAAATATAATACTATAATTGGATAATGCTTTTAAATAATATGAACTTGATTATAATTGAAGTCTCTCGTATACATCTAATGACATCAAAAAGTTTTAAGCCAAGAGCAGACATGAACAGATTTGCATTTTGAAAAGATCTTTGAGAAGTTGCAGTGTAGGCAATGGGAAACAGACATTGATACGGGGATTCCAGTTAGCTGACTATTGAGGCTGTCCAGGTAAGAGGTATGATGGGCTGAACTGTGGTGGTTACAAAAGAGACAGATAGACTGGGGAGGTATTGGGATGAAACTGGCATGACCATTAGTGATGGATTGGTTAAGGGGAGTGAGAGGGTGCCATGGGGGCTGAAGATAACTTCTGAAATAATCTCTTATGGAGTGAAACAGTATTTCTAGGGGTAAAAGTATCTATCCTTAGTGATTATCTCAAGAATTAAGAAAAAAGTACAACCAAATTAAAATAGAAACACAATTTCAAAGAATTTTAAAATTACAATTAAGGAATTTTAATTTTAAGAATGTTAAATGTTAAATATTTTAGATTGATTTATATAATTAATCAATACATCTATTCACTATATCCTTTTCCCTCAACAAGATTAAAACTTCAGGTCAGGCCTGGTGGCTCACGCCTGTAATCCCAACACTTTGGAAGGCCAAGGCGGGCGGGTCATCTGAGATGAGGAGTTCGAAACCAGCCTGGTCAACATGGTGAAACCCCGTCTCTACTAAAAATACGAAAATTAGCTGGGTGTGGTGGCTCGCGTCTGTAGTCCCAGCTACTCCGGAGGCTGAGGCATGAGAATTTCTTGAACTCGGGAGGCGGGGGTTGCAGTGAACTGAGATTACGCTACTGCAGTCCAGCCTGGACAACAAAGTGAGACTCAGTCTCAAAAAAAAAAAAAAAAAAAAAAAAAAAAAAAGGTAAAACTTCAGTACACTTTTATTTCCTTCTCCCCCAAACCCACTCTCTTGCCTTGTATTATAATCTCTCTTGTTGACGCTGAGATTTCTTTCCAAACTCATTTTTTTGCAGCCTGCGTCAATAATTGTTTGAGGTTAATTATATGATTTCCTTGAGTTTTACTTCACTTGTGTCTGCGTGTGTGATTTCCCTTTGACTTGAAATCCCCCTTTTTTTTTTTTTTTTTTTGCTGGATTATATCCTGGAATAGTTCTTTCTTTTCTTTTCTTTTTTCTTTTTCTTTCTTTCTTTCTTTTTTTTTTTTGAGACGGAGTCTCACTCTGTTGCCCTGGCTGGAGTGCAATGGCGTGATCTTGGCTCACTACAAGCTCTGCCTCCCAGGTTAAAGCGATTCTCCTGCCTCAGCCTCCCGAGTAGCTGGGACTACAGGCACCTGCCACCATGCCCGGCTAATTTCTTGAATTTTTAGTAGAGATGGGGTTTCTTTCAGAGAGAGCCTGAGAGCAATAAACTTCCTGAAATCTTGCATGTTTGAAATGCTTTGTTTTGTACTTCATCTCAATGCTAGTTTGACTAGATGTAGTTTAGGCTCAAAATAAACTTTTCTTAGAACTTTGAGGAAAGCCTATTGCATTCTATCACAAACTGTTGCTAAAGAAAAGCATGGGATTAATCTTTTTATTTCTTTAGAGTCAAATTATGTTCTCCTCCCGCGCCCAAAGTTTGTAATATTACACTCCATTCTTGGTGCTCTGAAACTTACCATGGGAGGAATCTGGATTTGTGCCTCTGTAACATTCACCATGCTTGTCACTCAATGGGACTTTTAAATCTGAAGACTTTTGTGTTTCTTAAGCTGTGTGAAATGTTCTTAAAGTTATCTTTGACTGTTTTCTCTCCTCATTCTATTTTCTCCTTTTGGAACTCTATTTAAATAAATAGGGCTTGAGTTTCTGAATATATCTTCTGCATGTCCACTTTTTTATTTTCCAAATCTTTTCTTTCTGTTCTGCTTTTAGGTGGTGAAAACAAAGTTTAGTTTTCTAGTCCATCAGTCCCTTCTTCAATCATGTCTATTCCCTTTTTCAGCCCATTCTTTTATCTAATAAGTTTCAAATATTTTTCAGTCATCACAATTTCAAGTATTTAAAGTACATAATTAAATAATCTTCTTAGTAATGTATGTTTCTATTAATTGAAGTAATTTTAACTTTTTTTGTTTATGATCTGTTTTATTAGGTATTATTTCTTGTTAATGAAATTAAGTTTCTCTCTTTCTTTCTTTTTTTTTGAGACAGGGTCTCACTCTGTCACCCAGGCTAGAGTGCAGTGGTGCAATCATGGTTCACTGCAGCCTCAACCTGCTGGGCCAAGAGATCCTCCTGCCTCAGCCTCCTGAGTAGCCGAGGCTCATACCACCATGCTTGGCTAATTAAAAATTTTTTTGCTGTAGAGATAGAGTCTCATCATGTTTCCCAGGCTGGTCTGGAACTCGTGGGCTCAAGTGATGCTCCTGCCTTGGCCTCCCAGAGTGTTGTGATTACAGGCATGAGCCATTGCACCTGTCTGGTTTCTCTCTTTTAAGGCGTAAAATTTCCTCAAATGCCTGGTGGTTTTTGATTGCCATCTCACCTTTGGACTGATAATTTCTCTGTATTTACCTATGTATGTGGTTTCTGATGAGCTTCCCTTTATCATTTGGAGGAGTAGAACATGCCATGTGAGTATGTCAATAATTAAAAAAATTTTTTTTGATTGTTGGCGCAATCCATTCATCTTGGTTTGCCCACCCTACCTGGAAAATTGCCCTGAGTCTCTGTTCCTAGGGGCCACACTCACTACTTTAATTTCACAGGGAATGAGCTTGTGCTCAGCATAAGCAGAGGAAAAGGGATTGGTCAACTATTGGCAATACCTTATTTAATCATTCTGATGACTATCTCCATTGCTTCTTCCTGTTGCTTGTATCCACTGATTCTGAACTTAGAGTTCCACTCCTAACTCTTCTGTTTATGATTTTATGTTGAGGTTTTCCCTATTTTTTCTTCTATCAATTTAATTACATAATAGTATCTGCAAAAAATCATAATTTTGATGATTGTGTTTCTTCATTTTAGCATTTTCTTCCTCATTGTCTCCCCCTAATCTTGGCATATTGTCTTGACTAGGACTTTTACAATACAACTTCCAACCAGCCTGCCATAAGTGGGTAACAGATGTGCTGAGATGGCCAGAATTTTAATGGCTATTGCTTCTAGGCACAAGTAAAATTTTTCTTTCACACTACTGTGCCATGCAACATTATCATTTTCCAAGAATTCTATGGTGTGAAAAATATTGGGAAGTATTACTCTATAACAGTTGGGAAAACAATTCCTTCATTTAGCTTTTTCAAATTATTTGTTATAAAATGGTTATAGTATCAAGCTGAACCTAGCAAATTATTTTAATTTGTGGTTATACATCTTTTCCTTATTTTAATTTTATGTTTTTTTCCTTTCTTTTCTTACATCTCTTTCTTTTTCTTTTCTCCCTTTGGTAGACTTATCCAGGATGTGCCAATTATTGGTTATTGCAAAGAAGTAGATATTTCCTCATTAAATCAAGTATACTGGTTTTCTGTAATTTATTTAATTCATGCTTTTATATGTATTAATTCATTTCCACCACTTTTTGCATTATGATTAGTGGTATTTTTCTAGCCCCCTTGATTGAATATTTCATTTTATAAATCACCCTAATTTTAAATTAAATAGTGTTAAGGCTACAAGTTTTCTTCAGTTTACCACTTTGGACAAATAGTGATATACAATGCATTCCTTTGATGATAGTGATCCATTTCTAGTTATGCCATAAAAGGAATATATTTAAAAACTCAAGATATTTATAAGAGGTATTCATTTTTAAGTGCTTAGAATTTTTTTTTCTATTTTCTGTTATCATTTTCAGTTTTAATTTATTTCGATAAACACTGTACTCTATATGACTTCTATCTTTGGAAATCTATTAAAAACTTCTTTGCAGCTGAATCTATGGCCAATTTGTGTGTGTCATAAGCATTTGAAAAGCACGTGTCCCTATTGGGATCTAAAGTTAAGCACACACTCACCCACATGCATTCACACACACACACACATCTAGTGTTTTCTGCTTCATTTTAATGTTCATGAATCAGTTCACTTGATCATTTACCTGCTGCCACCTTGATCATTTACCTGCTCCACTTCTGAGTGGAGCTCAGAAGCCCCTGTCCCGGTGGGCTCTTCAGGCAGCCTGTCTGCTCATCTTGGCTGACTCATGGGTTGCTGCCATGGCAAAGAGGCCTTGACTGCTGTTGACCCTGGATAGTCTGGGCAGTCAAAATAAAAATGGAGTCAGATGGAGAATTTCAAGAAATATCACATAGAATTGCTCACTTAGTGACTGATAGGTCATGGTGATGGCAGCAGCAGGGAGGCATTGCCAGGGCTGCATGCTCCATGGAGCTGGCGGGATCCTTGGACAAGCGGGAGCCCTGCCTGTTCCGAGTTGGGGTTGGAGCTCCCAGGGTGCCCTGCAGCTACCCACACTGCAGCTGTAGACCTGGGCCTCCTGCTTCATGGAACAGGCAGGAGCCCCACCCTCCCAGGTGCAGCTGCAACAACCGGATCAGTGGCTACAGATCCGGGCCTCCCACTTCGTGCAGCAGGAGCAGGAGCAGGAGCCAGACCCTCCCCCTTTCCCTGCATCCCTGAACTCTTGGGGGCTGAGAAGGACCCCTGCCCTTGTAGACTCAGAAGTGCCTGCTCCCACTGCCTGCCTGGCTTCTCCCCTGCTGTTGGTACCTGCTCAGATCTTAGAGAAGTCTGGGTGAGCTTTGGCACCATGAATGGCAGCAGGAGGCAAACAGGTTCCTGGGCAGAAGAGGGCAGTCCCAGTAAGGCCCCACCTTCAGGCCAGGGAGGGCCTGAATTCTGGGGGCTGGGCCGCCAGTCCCGCAAACTGGAGTGGGGGCTTCTGGTGCCTTTTCCAGGACCTGCCACCCATGGCCGCCATGGACCAATCAACACACACTTCCTCCCCTCTGAGGTCCATAAAAGCCACGGGCTCAGCAAGAGCCAGCAGAGGATGGAGAGAGGACTGGATGATCAGCCGCAGAGAGGAGATACTGTCTCTGCTGAGAGTTGGAGATAATGAGATGACCAGCTGCAGAGAGGAGCTACCCTCTCTGCTGAGAGCTGTAGAGATCACAGGATGACCTGCCAGCAGAGAGGAGCCACCCTCTCCAGGGCCTCCTCTGCTGAGAGCTGCAGATATCAGGATGACCAGTTGCAGAGAGGAGCTACCTTCTCCAGGCCCTCCTCTCTGCTGAGAGCTGAACACTTGACAGGACTACCTGCCTGCAGAGAGGAGCTACCTTCTCCAGGCCCTCCTCTCTGCTGAGAGCTGAACACTTGACAGGACTACCTGCCTACAGAGAGGAGCTACCCTCTGTGGGTCTCCTCTGAGCTGTCATAACACTCAATAAAGCTCCTCTTCATCTTGTTCAACTTCCACTTGTTTGCATACCTCATTCTTTCTGGACATAGGACAAGAACTTGGGCAAAGGTGTCACCAGCCAGCCACAGAGGTTTCTGGCCAGAAGAGTGACACCCCAAAGATCCCATTACAATGGGACATTAGGAAGAGGGAAAAATCAAGAATAAAAAATAATTTATGACAAATATGGAACTAGTCAGCTATGGAAAAATTATTTATACATAGTATTCTTTTTAGTTGATTTTCTTGGGCTTCATGAGCATCATCAGGAAGTAATGATAATTTACCTGTTTTGTTCCAATATTTATAGTCTCATAAGTCTGATGTTGGCTAAAATTTCAGAGACTTTTCTAGGTCTCAAGGAGTTAGAAAAGCCTGTTGAAATCTGGGTTATAACAACAAGCCCCCTATGACTCCCAGGGCTTCCAGTGCATTGGCATCATAGAGAGTTACAAGAGTTTAGGGTCATCCAGATACAGCTGGAACTCAGTGACCCACTTCCTCTGAGTTCACCTAAAGGAGATATAAATAGGGAGATGCGTCATCTTAATGGGGATCATTCTGATTAGGTATACAATCTTACTAAGCCAACTCAGAGGAGGTTGCAGTTCCTTGCCAATTTTTGATAGCATTGCGTTCATCCACTTTCTCAGGCAGGGACTATAGGAAATGAAGGTGAACTCGTGGAGATTTTGGAGAGAATTTAATGAAGAGGCTGTTTACCAAGGTATGGGCAGAATTAAGGGGAATCATGAGGGATGTTGAGGCACTCAGAGACTAGTAACAACATTAACTAAAAATAAAGCCATTAAGACCCTAGGCTTGAAATGGTGATAAGGAATTAGTGTCACCTGAGTGGCGGACGTGTGGCAGGGGGTTGCCTGGTTAGAGCACTAATGGTAGAGGCACTAGACACTGCCAGAACCACAGTGCAAGGGGGAGCAGGGAGGAAACCAGAGACTACATCCCCTAACCTCTCTTCCCACACTTCCAACCTTTCGCTGGTGCTTTCAATCGGCTAGACCCAACCAGAATGCAGAGATCTAAGAGCCTGGGTGGTGCAGTGTGTGTGGTGTGTGTGTGTGTGTGCGCATGCGTGTGTGCAGCCCACTGGGGCACAGAGCAGAGTTGATCAGCGAAGGGCAAGAAAAGATTGTTACCAGGTCAGAAAAAGGATAACCAGAGCACACACTGGTGCTTGTTCCACTCAGTTGGGGCCGGGATACAGGGTGTGTTTTATATGCAATATATTGAAAATTATAGTACCTGAGGCAGAAGAATCAACCCAGGATTGCTGTTTTCTGATGTGGACTGTGGATGTGAAAAACACTAGGCAATAGAGATATAATCATAGCTACATTTTTATTCTGTGAAAACTATATATTATGAGCATTTGTCTTTTTCATTTCTTAACAAATATTTTTCAAAACTTTCATTTTATTTTTGATTTGGGTATACTTTAAGTACATAGAACATGTTATTTATTTATTTATTTGTTTATTTACTGAGACAGGATCTCTCTCTGTCTCCGAGGCTGGAGTGCAATGTTGCAATCAGGGCTCACTGCAGCCTCGACCTCCTGGGCTCAACTGATCTTCGTACCACAGCCTCATGAGTAACTGGGACTACAGGTGTGTGCCACTATGACTTTTGACTGGCCAATTATTTACTTTTTGTAGAGATAGGTCTTGCTATATTGCCAAGCTGGTCTCAAACTCTTGGGCTCAAGCAATCCTCCCGCCTTGGCCTCCCAAAGTACTGGAATTGCACAGTGAGCCACTGTGTCTGGCCACAGAACTTTTAAATTGTGCATTAAATCTGTTTTACCTTCATGATTCTGCCTTTGATACCATGCTTAGAAAGAATTTTCCTACCCTTAAGGGTTTATAAATTTCACCTACATTTCTGGTACTTTGTGACTTTTCCAAAAAAACCCTATATTTATTGCACAATTTATTGAAATATCCACATATTTTAAAAATATATTCATCTATATGTGTTTATAAATATTTATATCATATTTCTTTTCCTTTATGTGCTTATTATTTTCCTGGGCCAGTGCACTACACTGTTTTAGTTATTACTTTGTTATTGTTAGGATACATTTTAAATCTAGCAAAGAAAAGTTTCTTTCTTTGTTCTTTTTCCTATTTAAAATTTTTATTTTGGAAAATTAACAGAGAAATAAATGCTTTAAAAGGCTAGAAAATACAGACAAGCAATAAAAACAAGGAGAATATCCATACTCCCATCAGCTTAGAGATATAATATCTAGTTGTACACTTTCCCAGTTTCCTTTTTTTGTTTATAGTCCCTGCAAATTTTATGCATACATATTTTTACTTATAGAAATTAAATTATCTTATATATACTGTTTTGAATCCTTTTATTTGTAATTTAATAGACGACCATGGGCATTTTTTCTATGCAACTACAGATAGTATCTCATGATATGAATGGTCCTGGATTTACTTACACATCCTCCTTTGGATGAGCAAGTAAGTGGTTTCCAATTTTTTCCACTATTATACAGAATACGCAAATGAATATCCTTGCACTTACATGATTTATTTCTTAAAATAAATTCTTATGAGTGCAATTCTTTTTATAAAAGAAAATTATATTTTTAACTTCTCTAAATGTTGCCAGGTTTCCCTCCAGAAACATTTTACTCCTACTATGTATGAAATTTCCCTTTCCTCCTTAGCCTTGCTAGCAATGGGGGGGGGGTTTATGCTTACATTTTAAATCTTGGCTAACCTGATAGGTAAAAATTAATATATCGCTATTATTTTGTTTGCATTATTTTGATCATGAATAAAGTTGAGCCCTTTATCCTATATGTATTTTATTTTAAATGAATTTATGTATGTATACAGCCCATTAAAATATATATCCTATATTTATATATTTATATTATATAATATGTAATATTTATATATATTTTAAATTGGATTTTTTTGTTTGTGAGTACTTTTTATATAATATAAATACTAGATTGAATTGAATAGATTTCAAGTATTTTTTAGTTACCTTACAGTTTCTTTCCAATATCTCATACAAATATTTAAAACATGTATGGGATCAAATATGTCACCATTTTCATTTTGAATCGTGTTCTTGGTGTCATCTGCAGAAAAATCTATCCAACCTAAAGTTCATTAAAACACATTTTCCAATTTTTCCCACGGACACATTTACATTTGGCTGTGGTATAAGCTAGATATCCAGTATTTTTTTTTACCAAAAGAATAGTCTAGTCTTACACCACTTTTGAATAACATCTTTTCTGCAATAACTTGAAATACTTCTTTTATCTTATTTTTAGCTCCTAGATATACTTTGGTCTGTTGTCTGGGTCTGTTCTGTTTCATTGATCTATACTTTTATTTCTAGGTGACTTCCACAAAAAGTTAATTTTTGAGGCAGTTCATTGGCTAGGCAGAAATCCTAAAATACAAACCCATTCTGATTGGTTAATTAGGATACTCCCAGCTGAGAGATGTTGAAGGGCTGCAGACACTGAATTCAGTTGTTATCCAAGTCAGCTGGAACATTCTGTAATCCTTTAGCAGGTGTGAGTGCAATCCCCTTGCAATCTCCTGTCTCCACTTTAAAGCCTTAGCCTTAATTACTTCATTTTCTTTCACACGGTGAGAAGCTTGTACCGCTTTTTCCTAGCTCCTGTAATACTTTTGTTTTTCCTGTAAAGAAACCTCTTGGCAATGGTGGAGATTTGCACAGGCCCTAAGAGCCATTGATAACGATATCATTATTCGACACTGTCGTTACAAATCTATGTACCTTCCTGACTTTCATCTCCACAGAAAGTAAATTTTTCACAGTGATAGACATTTGTAGTGCTTTTTAAAGGCACTGGTTCTGGTGGACACTGAGAGACAATTTTTATTTGCTGCACGTGGAAAGGACAACAACATACCTGGACAGAAATGCCTCGAGGATGTACTGAAGGCCCCTCTCACTTTTCACAGGTACTGAAGACAGATTTAACGGACATTTATTTTCCCCAAGGGTCAACTCTCAGTAGGTTGATAACCTTTGTTTTCCTTGTAAAGAGGCTTGTGAACATGATAGCGTTTATATCCTTAAAATTCTAGCAGACAAAGGCCATAAAGTTTCCAGAGAAAATTCCAATTTACCAAGGAATGTCAAATATTTCAGATACTTGATACTAAACTAGGGACCTCTCTTGGATCCTGATAGACTTAAAAGCTTGTATGGTTTGGATCCGTGTTCCCACCAAGTCTCATGTCAAATTGTAATCCCCAGTGTTGGTGGTAGGGCCTGGTGGGAGGTGATTGGATAACGGGGGTGGGATTTTTCATGACTGATTTAGCACCATCCTCTTGATACTGTCCTCGGGATAGTGAGTGAGTCTTCATAAGATATGGTTGTTTAAAAAAGTGTGTAGCACCTTCCTGTCCCCCACCCTCTTCCTCCTGCTCTGCCCAAGTGACATGTCTGCTCCCTCTTTGCCTTCAGCCATAACTGTAAGTTTCCTGGGGCCTCTCCAGAAGACAAGCAGATGCCGCTATGCTTCCTGAACAGCCCACAGAACTGTGAGTCAATTAAGCCTCTTTTCTTTGTAAATTACTCAGTCTCAGGTATTTCTTTGTAGCAATGTGAGAATGGACTAATACGAAAGCATTTTAAACTTTCCTCAACCTCAGACTAAAAGACAGTCACAAGGGTTTTTGGGCCTGGCAGAGTACTGTTGAAACTGGGTATCTAATTTTTCTTAATAGCTCTATCATTATATATCCTTCTGAAACTTAACAAGCTGGAGCCTCCGGACTGGGAAGAGAATGCTTGTAGAGTCTCCTTTCAATTAAAATAAGGACTTCTAAGTCATCCTGCCTTAGGGCACCCCTTATCAGCTCCCCTTCCTCCTTTCTAGTGAATGAAAGAGAAGAAAGTGCATTAGGGGTTCTTAACTGAAAACATGGAGATTAACACACACACCCCTTGGATGTTACAGCCAGCAATTAGATTCAGTAGCTAAGGGACTCCCTTCCTGCATGGGAGCTGTATCAGGCACTGTGGCTTTAACTAAATCTATGTTCCTCATGTTATAGAAGCTTTAATCAATTCTCATAATACTCAATATCTTTCTGCAAGCAGAGTCACTTTTTATGAGATCTTGCTGTTGACTTCTCATATTATTCTTTCTCATTTCAATAATCATAATCCAGCAAATTGCCTTCTCTTATTCAATGACGAGACACCTCATAACTGACTAAATTTAACTGACCAGCTACTAAAACCTAGAGCTGATTTACAAGAAACCCGTATACCAGATGCAGAATTTTCATAGTTTACTGATGGATCATACATGTCCGTTAATGAAGAAAAGTATCTTGCTGGATGTACTGTTATCATTCTTTTTAAGTAACTGAAGCAGCCCTGTTGTCAATGGCTACTTCAGCCCAGCAAGCAGAACTTTATCCCCTAACTGGGGCTTGTATCCTGGTGAAAGGTAAACCTGCAAATCTTCACAGAAACATATTATATGATTAAATGTATATGAAATGTCCAGAATAGCAATTGCTAATGTATTTTCTGTTTCTATGGACTTGTCTATTCTGGACATTTCATATATATAGGTAGTCATATAATATATTGGCTTTTTGTCTCTGTTTTCTTTCACTTAGCATAATGTTTTCAGGGTTCATCCATGTTGTAGCATGTGTCAATACTTCATTCCATTTTATGCCTGAATAATTGTCTACTATATATAGATATACTACATTTTTAAATATACAGGTTGAACATTTAGGTTGTTTCCATTTTTGGCTATTATGAATTATGCTGCTATGAATGTGCACACTTTTTGTGTGTGTGAACATGTATTTTTTAGTTGTTTTTGGTACAGTTCTATGGGTGGACCTGCTGGATCATATGGTAACTGTATGTTTAACTTTTTGAAGAATCGTCAAACTCTTTTCTAAAGTAACTACTTTAGCTATACCTCATAAATTTTGACAGCTATATTTTAATTTTAATTTATTTAAAATTATTTTCTAATTTCCCTTTGATTTCTTCTTTTACCCTTTGGTTATTTATGGGTGTGTTATTTACCACATATTTGTGAAATTCCAAATTTTTTTTCTGTTATTGGTTTCTCATAGTGTTCCATCGTGGTTATAGAACATATCTTGTAATTTCTATCTTTTTAAATTTACTGAGGTTTGTTTTTTGGTAAACCTATGGTCTTTCCTGGAGAATATTTTATGTCCACTTGAGGATAATGTATACTCTGTTATTGTTGGGTAGAATATTCTATAGATTTCTATTAGGTCTATTTGGTTGATAGTGTTGTTCAAGTCTTCTATTTCCTTGTTGATCTTCTGCCTAGATGTTTCATCCATTACTAAAAGTGGGGTATTAATATTTTCAACTATTATTATTGAATTGTCTATTTCTCCCTTCATTCTGTCAGTTTTTTCTTCATGTATTTTGGTGTCCTGCTGTTAGATGCATATATATTTGTAATTGCTTTATTTTCATCGTGGAATGACCCTTTTATTATAAAATATCCCTGTAGTCACATGCTTTGTTTTAGTCTGTGTCATCTGATATTAGTGTAGCCATTCCAATTTTATTGTGGTTACTGTTTGAATGATACATCCTTTTACTTTTAACGTATTTGAATTTTTGAATTTAAAGTGTATATCCTGTATATACACTGATATTTCTATATTATGGAATAATATATTTATTATATAAAGAACTGTTATAACAGAATAATAAAGGCAAATAACGCAATATAAAGATTGGCAAAGGATTTGAATAGTCATTTCTCTGAAGAAAGTATGCAAATGACCATTGGTCATTTGAAAAGCACATGAAAAGATACTAAACATCATTAAACATTAAGGAAATGGAAACCAAAACCACAATTAAAAGAGTTCCACTTCCATGACAGCATGGTGAGCTCTGAAGTCCCACCTTAAAGAACTAAAAATATATGTTCACACAAAAACTTGTACATAAACATTCATAGCAGCATCATCCATAATAGCCAAAAATGGAAACAATCCAAATGTTCAACTTAAAGATATATAAAGAAAATGTAGTATATCTATATAGTAGACAATTATTCAGGCATACAATGGAATGAAGTGCTGACACAAGCTACAACATGGATGAACTTTGAAAACATATATATCCTGTATATACATTTAAAGTATATACCCTGTAGATAGCATAGAGTTAGATCTTGTGTGTGTGTTTTTTTAAATGCAGTCTGTGATTTCCTGCCTTTTGATTGGATTGTTCAATACATTCACATTTAATGTTATTATTGACATAGTTGGATTTATGTCTGCCATTTTAGTTTTTGTATCCTGTATGTCTTGCATGTTTTTATCCTTCAATTTCTTCTTTACTGACTTATTTGTTAGGGCAAGAGTGATCAGGGCCTCATAATTCACGATAATAATATGCCTAAGGTAGATCCTCCATCCCACAAGTAGGGGCTTGGTGGAACAAGGGAGCCCTGACCTCTCAGCTGTAACTGACCTCTCACCTGAAACTTAGCTTCAGAACTAGGCATAGGATAAGAAATGCTGAAATCCCCCCTCTTCTAGGAGGTTAGCTCTCCAACTGGAAGCTGGGAGGAAAGAGAGCCCTGAGTTCTTGACCTCATCAGTTTGGAGTAGAGTTTGTCTCTTGATGAACTGGGATAGGGGAGGGAGGGAGCAGGTCTTGTTTTGAATACCACAGAATCTTACTGTTCTTATTAAGTTTTAGTAGATTTTCTTGAATAAATTTTTTAAAAAAACTTGTTGTATACCCTTAGAAGCATTTCCAGAGACTAAATCATTGTGTTTCCAAATACAATTTTCACTTGTTTTGCTCGGGGGTTGGACTTTGGAGCTCACCATGCTGTCATGCAGGAAGTGGAACTCTTTTCACTGTGGTTTTGATTTGCGTTTCCTTGATATTTAATGATGTTTAGTATATTTTCATGTGCTTTTCAAAGGACCAATGGTCATTTGCATGCTTTCTTCAGAGAAATGTCTATTCAAATCCTTTGCCCATTTTTAAATTGTGTTGTCTTTATTCTTCTGTTGTAATGGTTCTTTATATTTTCTAGATACTAAGCTCATCAGATATATGATTTGTAAATATTTTCTCCCTTTCTTTGGGTTGTATTTTCATTTTCTTGATAGTGTCCTTCAAACCACAAAAGTTTTTAGTTTTGATGCATTCCTATGTATATATTTGATTGTTTGTGCTGTAGGTATTATAGCTAAAAACCTGTTGTCTAATGCAAGATCACAAAGATTTACACCTATGCTTTCTTTTAAGATTTTATAGTGTTAGCTCTTACATTCAGATCTTTGATCCATTTTGAATTAATGTTTATATATAGTGTGAGGTAGAAGTCCCAGTTCATTATTTTGCATATGGACATTCAGTTATCTCAGCATCATTTGTTAAAATGTTGTAAAATTTTAATGAGAAATTATTTAAATATATAAGTGAAATAGATGATAATTATATTTGTAATATTGAATTTTCTCATGTGAAACACATTTCTATTTATTTAGGTACTTACATTTGTGTGTAAAGTGATATCATTTGTTTGCTTGCTTGTTTTAACAGAAGTTTTGAATATTTCTTTTGATGCTGCATTTGTTGTTATCATTAATGGGATCATTATGCATTATATTAAAATTTTCAAAATGTTTGTCTTTACCAAAGTCAAAATTGCACATTTTAATATTAATTTAATTTTAAAAGTTAAAAATTAGTGTATTCAGTCTCCTTTCTCCCTTTTTTCTCCTACCCCACAGTTGAGCATTTTAAATTATTTTTTAGTTGGATAATTTGTTTATCATTATATCTTTAAAAATCAAGCTTGCATTATTATTTCTTTTTTTTTTTTTTTTTTGGTTTAAGCACTATCCATTGACTTCCTGTTATAAAAGATGAGTATTTACCTCTCATTCCTCTCTCTTTCCCACTCTACACAGCTAATTTCTTGTTATTTCACTCCTAATATTGCTACTCTTTAATATAAATTAGATCAATATTTAGTTTTAAATTATCATGACAATGTATGTAATTCAGAACCGAGATATGTAGTAAATAATGACTCTTTTTTACCTGAGCCAACTTAACTAAATAACTTTCTATTTTTTCTATAGTTAAGTAGGAAACTATACTGCTAATTCAATCTCCAAATTCTTCTCCTCTGGTTGTTTAAAAATTCTCTCAGTATGTTACTTCATATCAGATATTCTATGAATTTCATCATTTTGGAGAGTCCCTGGTGTTTCCTTACTGGTGTTTCCTAACATGCTTCCACACCTATTTGATGCATAGCTATTATCTTGGAGTCTTCTTTACCTTTATCTTGGGAGTGTCTCTGGTATTTAATGTCTTTATTGCTTCACTCTCCTATTTTGATGAAGCACATTTTCAAGTTGTTTCCTGAGAAAGGGTGTGTGGGAGGTAAACATTTTCAGATCTTGTTCATCTAAAAAGCTCTGCATTCTACCCTGGCCCTTGGATGGTTATAAAATTCTAAGTTGGAAATCACTTTTTAAAAAAGCATTTTGAATTATTGTTCCATTGTCTTTCAGCTTCCCATATTGCTACTGAAAGTCTTAAAGCCATTCTCATTGCTAATAAAGCTTGTGGTATTTATTTTCCTCTCTCTGGAATCTAGCAAAATCCATTTTCTGCCTCCTTTGTCAGAAGTTTCACAATGATAAGCCTTGATATGCATTTGTTTCTAGACAGTCTGTTGGGCATTTACATAACCTTTAGTATCACATCCTTTATATACTTCAGAGAGAGATATTGAGAATGGATTTTGGCTTTGGTGTGAGAGAAGATGGATCATAGTTTAAATGTACTGCCTTTTTATCTTTTATAGCTGGGAGGCAGCAACTAAGATCTTAGATTGATAAATCAGGAAAATAGTGGTATAATAAATGTTGGAGTTTTTATGGTGGCCAATAGAAATTTTAAAGGGAGATAATGGTTTTCAATTTTTCTACTCTGCTGTACTTTTGGAACTTTTAAAGCCATATTCATGTTTTGGTTTTAGAATTAAAATATAAAACAATATATAAAAATAAAAGTGTATATGCTCTGTGATCCAGCAATTCTACTTTTAGCAGTCTTATTCCAGAAGCATTCATTATCCTACTGTTTATTATGGCAATATTTGTAACAAAAAATGTTAATAGGCAAATGATTAAATAAATTGTAGTACTTCTGTGCTATATTCTATGTCCCGTGTGGTTGGAATTATCTTAGTTCCTCTCCCTACCTTCCTGCTTTGGCCCTAGAAACAGAAATATTCACCCTTTAAGAAGTAGGGGAAAATGGTTTCCACACTTCTCTTCATCTCACAATGACATGTGAAGACATGAAAAGAGTGATGACTTATCTGATTGGTGAGATCAGAAGAGACTGGACTAGTCATTTATTTATTCTCTCTTCGAACCAGATAATGTATTCTGTGTTCTCTATAGTAAGACCTGCAGGGGAAGCCTTTGCACTGTCAAAAGACCTGCTAGGTCATAAATCCAGCTGGGCTTCTCTAATTCAGCTGCATAAAGAGTTCAGATTTAAATTTAAGTGAAAAAAGCAAGGCAGAGAAATATATATACATATAATATGTGTGCATATATATGTTATTTGTATATGTATATATACATATTTATAGATCATAGATCTCAAATATTTAAGAAAGATAATATTTGCATATCCTATATATGAAATGCAGAAGAGTTTCAGAAGTATGCATATCAAATTGTGAACTCTTGTTTCCATGAGGTAAGTAATAGCAGGGAGGAGTAAGAGGGATTTTTACTTTTTATCTCAATGTATTGTTAAAATATTTTAGTTTCTATAACCACATATTTATTGATGCAATTAAAAGTTTGAGGAACAAAAATACCCTGGAAGAGAATACATGAATATTTTCATGTATAGTGGTTCAATAGTGGTTATCTCCAGAAAGTGAGTTGTGGAAGTCTATATCATTTATTTGTTTAATATTTTAAAACAATAACCTTGTATTACTTGTTATGATTCATAAAAATAAGATAATATTAGTTTTTCATCATAGGCAATAGCTAGCCTCTCCCAGATCATGTTGCTTGATGGCTGTGATCATGGTCACAGCCTTTCTTTTTTTCTTACATTTTGAGAATGCTTTTATTGCTTCAAGTCTAAAATTAACATGTTTTCTCGTTTTTCTTCCTTAGTAGAATTAATTAATTGACATAGTTTCTATTCATATCTGACCCTCTGAAATAAACCTTACCTGGTCATGGTGTGGACTGTTTAATACATAATGTATTGAATTCAAATGGCACGTGTTGGACTTAGAACTTTTGGCTTTATCTTCACAACTGATATTGGGTTATAGTTTTTGTGTGTGTGTGTTTCTG
Organism: Homo sapiens; assembly: GCF_000001405.40. Classification (NCBI taxonomy): domain Eukaryota; kingdom Metazoa; phylum Chordata; class Mammalia; order Primates; family Hominidae; genus Homo; species Homo sapiens. The sequence goes on along the minus strand of NW_011332695.1, from coordinate 103,142 downwards.
GCTGTGACATCAAGGCTATGTTAGTCTCAAAGAACGAATTTGGAAATCTTGTAAATAAAACTTCCACATCTCCCACACTTCTGCTATTTTTAATAGTGATTATGCACAGTGCAAGTGCTAAGTACTGTGTTCTTATATACTTCTTAAAGTTTCAGTAGCTGCTATACAGCTTTTTTCTTATTTCTAATATTGTGTCTTTAAATTTTTGCATTTTTCTTAATTAGATTTTTTGGAGATTTTCCTGTTTAATGAGTTTTAAAATAGAAGGCCCAGCCTTTAGAACTAGTTGTATATCCTATTATACTCCTGTTTTTCTAACTAGTTTTCTTCTTCTTATCATAACTTCTTACTTTGACTTTTATATATTTTGTTCTTCTTGCTTTCTGAGTTGAATGTGCAGTTTGTTTTTCATTTCCTAGGTTTAATAATAAATATGCATAATAATAATAGCATTAATAATTATGCAGTTTTTCTGAGGACAGCTCTGATTGGAGAGGGCCCTTATTTCCATACTTATCTCCATGATACTTTGACTTAACCCTGGTAGGGCACAGGAATGGAGTGCAAGTTTCAGATACAACTTGTGTGACTTTTATGTTCATGGAAGAATTATTGTTAAGTGTGCTTTTTTCCTTTTCTTCTTATTGGAAATCTATGTGACATTTTTATTTTAAAAATAGGGTTTTTCTGCTTAAAAAGGCTTAACACTGTTGACTGTGTTTATATTTACTCTATTTAACTTTATTTTCTTCACACTGCATTGACTTTCTGTGAGGAGATGAGTCACATAAAATTCTATCATTCCTGTCTGCTTCTGCCTAGAGCACTCTAAATGCATGGTGGCTACCATCATTATTACTGCACCCCTTCCTAGCCTCACCTCTTGCTCAATTCTGTTCAAGAGGATTTCAAAGGAAGTCAGAAATAAGAATAGTATTCAGCATGACTCACAGAGCAGTGCTGCAGAAATAGAGGTGGATGGACACATTCTATTTTTTCATTGGTACAGGGACTAGGTAAGGCTAATTACTGAAGACACAGAAATATAAATACTAAATTTTATGATAAGAAAATAAAACATACTAGAAACAACATACATTTTATTTATAAAAATCCAAAACATTGTTAAATGAAACAATACATGAAAGATAAAAATAAAAAATCTTGGCCGGGTGTGGTGGCTCAAGCCTGTAATCCCAGCACTTTGGGAGGCCGAGGTGGGCAGATCACGAGGTCAGGAGATCGAGACCATCCTGGCTAATACTGTGAAACCCCGTCTCTACTAAAAATACAAAATAATTAGCTGGGCGTGGTGGCAGGCGCCTGTAGTCCTAGCTACTCGGGAGGCCAAGGCAGGAGAATGGTGTGAACCCAGGAGGTGGAACTTGCAGTGAGCCAAGATCACACCACTGCACTCCAGCCTGGGCAACAGAGCAAGACTCTGTCTCAAAAAAAAAAAAAAAAAAAAAAAAAAAAAATCTTAGTGGGGAGATGGTAGATGAAATGAAATGGTGAAATGACTGGTTGACTAAAACAGAGAAAGAATAATAAAAGCAATCTAAAAAGATCATAATTAAACTTATTTAATTATGTGAAAGTGAAACATGGGTATTGCATATTATTGAATTAGTGCTAGATACACAAAGTTGAGAGACTCTTCCACAATGCAGAAAGTAATATGAGCAAAAAATGATGAAAGAGAGATGATGAAAAATAAGGAGTACAGAGTCTGAAGATCCAACATACAGATAATAGGCATCTCTGAGGAAGCATTTATTTACTGTGAATCAGAAGCCATAATAGATTAAAGAAAATTTCATAAACTAAAAAAATGTGATTCTATAGAATGAGAATATTCCCTGTATTTCAGGCAAAAATAATAATGAGAAGAGACCCACATGGAGGCAGATTGGTGAAGTTTTTGAATTTCACAAGGGACAGAAATCAAATAGTTTCAAGAAGTCTAAAGAACTTTGTGGGAAATGTTTATGAGCCAGCAATTTATGTGATAAGAGAATAGATATAGTCTCACTTAAATACGGCCTCTGAAAATGAATTATTTATGCACATTTCATTGAAAGTTATTCAAAGACATAATTATTTTGGCAAGAAATGAACCAAATATTAAATCAAGAATGAGGAGATACAGAGTTGAAAAAACTGAACTTGAACACTGATAGTTAAATTATACTGAGGTCTCTCATTTAATGCATATTTGTACCACGTTTTACAGAATGGGACCTTAAAATAATGTACATCTATTTTTTTCACATGTAATGACTTCATATATTTTTAAGCACAAAGAAGAAACTAAACAAAGAACAACTAACAAAGAAGAAATAAAATCTTAGTCTTAACCCCTCACCACAAGGCTTTTGGGTTCATGGCCTCTTGCAGAAGAATACACAACAATAACAGCTGTGCTATTGTCCATGTAGTGTTGAAATCTGCACACACATATTATGCTTGTTCCTTCTGAAACAAATAGATGGGCCAAAAGGTCCTGTGACTCATCCAACTGCTGGACCAAAGATTTCCACCTCCATTGATTCTCTTCTCCAAACATCTTTGTGGGAAACCACACTGGATGCGGAATGGGAGTGAGGCTCACATGATAAGAGAATTTGTAGATGGTTTGTTCTTTTTTGAATAAATTGTCCCTTGACCTAAATTGTCATAGAGGTTCTCAAGACAGTAATAAATGTTGGAGCAAAATTGAAATCTAGAGTAAATGTTCCTGAAATTTTTTTTCTTTTAGAAGGAAAGAACAGAACAGTTAGGGGAATCAATGATACAAATAAATAAAATAAATGTTTCCTGAGCTAATGAAAACTTCGTATCTTCAGGTTAGAAAGGCTCATTGAATGTCAGACAAAAACAAAATTAAAGAAAATATTTAGAAAAAAGGATTGACTCAAGAAAGTGAAAGATGTGGTAGAAAGAAAAGGTGATAAATAATAACTCCTCTGAAATAATTGTTTAAATAATTCCTGTTCATGTGATTTTGAAATAACATATAGGTTCATAAGTGATTTTTGTCATTGTTGTTGGGATGGAGTCTCATTCTGTCACCCAGGCTGGAGTGCAGTGGTGCAGTCTTGGCTCACTGCAACCTCTGCCTCCCAGGTTCAAACAATTCTCCTGCCTCAGCCTCCTGAGTAACTTGGACTACAGGTGCGCAGCACAACACCTGGCTAAGTTTTGTATTTTTAGTAGAGATGGGGTTTCACCTCATTAGCCAGGCTGGTCTTGAACTCCTGACTTCAGGTAATCCACCCACCTAGGCCTCCCAAACTGCTGGGATTACAAGCGTGAGCCACTGTGCCCAGCCCATCTGTGATTTTTAAAAGAGAAGATGCATTGTTAAAAAAAATTGTGATATGAATCTAAAATATTCAGATCATTGGGACTTGGGGTTATAGGGAGATAAGTGAGGAGGCAAACGTGTGATAAACTGTTTCTTTTATAGGGTGTATGTAAAAATCATGATGTATTCTGGAAAGTGATTCAAATTCAAATGCAATGTTTAAAATCACAGGCTGGGTGAGGTGTCTTACGCCTGTAACCCCAGCACTTTAGGAGGCTGAGGCAGGAGGATCGCTGGAACCCAGAAGTTCAAGACCAGGCAGGGTGACATAGTGAGACCCTATCTCTAAAAATTTTTTTGTTTGTTTGTTTTTTTGAGACAGAGTCTCACTCTGTCACCCAGGCTGGAGTGCAGTGGCGCGATCTCGGCTCACTGCAAGCTCCGCCTCCCGGGTTCAGGCCATTCTCCTGCCTCAGCCTCCCGAGTAGCTGGGACTACAGGTGCCCGCCACCACATCCGGCTAATTTTTTTTTGTATTTTTAGTAGAGACGAGGTTTCACCATGCTAGCCAGGATGTTCTTGATCTCCTGACCTCATGATCTGCCCGCCTCGGCCTCCCAGTGTGCTGGGATTACAGGCGTGAGCCACCGTGCCCAGCCAAAAATTTTTAAAATTACCTAGGAGTGGTGGCGCGCGTCTGTAGTCCCAGCTACTCAGGAGGCTGAGGTGAGAGGATCACTTGAACCTGTGAGGTTGAATCTGCAGTGAGCCATGATTATACCACTGCACTCTAGCCTGGGTGACACCCTTTTTCAAAAAAAATCACAGATAACCAGTAACTAGCAAGTAAAATATGAAGGAAAGATAATCACTAGCGCAAAGTTAGAAAAAAGAAAAAGCAAAAAAGTGTAAAATTAGGAAAATGAAAACATACTAATAGAAAAATATGATGATAAAGTTTGACCAAATGCCATATTTATAAAAATAAATGTGAATAATTTAGATTTGAATTAAAAGATGAATATTCTCAAATTATATCAAAAGTAAAATTTAAATATAAGGTGTTTACAAGGGACTCAACTAAAGCAAAATAACTGATAAATTTTAGCAATAAAGTGATGGCAAAAATATAGCATGTAAGTAATTCATAATTTTTTTTAAAACCTGGCTGGGCGCGCTGGCTCACGCCTGTAATCCCAGCACTTTGGGAGGCTGAGGCGGGCGGGTCATGAGGTCAGGAGATCGAGTCTGTCCTGGCTAACATGGTGAAACCCCATCTCTACTAAAAATACAAAATATTAGCTGGGCGTGGTGGCAGGGGCCTGTAGTCCTAGCTACTCGGGAGGTTGAGGCAGGAGAATCCCTTGAACCCGGGAGGCGGAGGTTGCAGCAAGCTATATTGCACCACTGCACTCGAGCCTGGCGACAGAGCAAGACTGTCTCCAAAAAAAAAAAAAAAAAAAAAAAAATCCATGTCTCTCCATCCCATCATTATTGTTCATCCCATCATCTTGCTCTTGTATGACTGCTACGTGAGCATAACTGTAATAATTCTTTTTGCCTTTAGTCTTATCTCTGTCTTGTTCACCTCCCACACTGGTCAGACTAACCTTTCTAAAATGCATTTTTGTCTGTTAGTCCTCTGCTTGAAAGTCTAGTAAATTCACATTGCTTTTAGGATAAAGTCCAAACTCCTTAATATGGCCTTGCATCATCTGTCCTTCACAGCATCTATAGCCTCAATTCCTGCCATTCCCTAGTTTGTACTTTCTTTTTTTTTTTTTATTATACTTTAAGTTTTAGGGTACATGTGCACATTGTGCAGGTTAGTTACATATGTATACATGTGCCATGCTGGTGCACTGCACCCACTAACTCGTCATCTAGCATTAGGTATATCTCCCAATGCTATCCCTCCCCCCTCCCCCCACCCCACAACAGTCCCCAGAGTGTGATATTCCCCTTCCTGTGTCCATGTGATCTCATTGTTCAATTCCCACCTATGAGTGAGAATATGCGGTGTTTGGTTTTTTGTTCTTGCGATAGTTTACTGAGAATGATGGTTTCCAATTTCATCCATGTCCCTACAAAGGACATGAACTCATCCTTTTTTATGGCTGCATAGTGTTCCATGGTGTATATGTGCCACATTTTCTTAATCCAGTCTATCATTGTTGGATATTTGGGTTGGTTCCAAGTCTTTGCTATTGTGAATAATGCCACAATAAACATACGTGTGCATGTGTCTTTATAGCAGCATGATTTATAGTCCTTTGGGTATATACCCAGTAATGGGATGGCTGGGTCAAATGGTATTTCCAGTTCTAGATCCCTGAGGAATCGCCACACTGACTTCCACAATGGTTGAACTAGTTTACAGTCCCACCAACAGTGTAAAAGTGTTCCTATTTCTCCACATCCTCTCCAGCACCTGTTGTTTCCTGATTTTTTAATGATTGCCATTCTAACTGGTGTGAGATGGTATCTCATTGTGGTTTTGATTTGCATTTATCTGATGGCCAGTGATGATGAGCATTTTTTCATGTGTTTTTTGGCTGCATAAATGTCTTCCTTTGAGAAGTGTCTGTTCACGTCCTTCACCCACTTTTTGATGGGGTTGTTTGTTTTTTTCTTGTAAATTTGTTTGAGTTCATTGTAGATTCTGGATATTAGCCCTTTGTCAGATGAGTAGGTTGCGAAAATTTTCTCCCATTTTGTAGGTTGCCTGTTCACTCTGATGGTAGTTTCTTTTGCTGTGCAGAAGCTCTTTAGTTTAATTAGATCCCATTTGTCAATTTTGTCTTTTGTTGCCATTGCTTTTGGTGTTTTAGACATGAAGTCCTTGCCCATGCCTATGTCCTGAATGGTAATGCCTAGGTTTTCTTCTAGGGTTTTTATGGTTTTAGGTCTAACCTTTAAGTCTTTAATCCATCTTGAATTGATTTTTGTATAAGGTGTAAGGAAGGGATCCAGTTTCAGCTTTCTACATATGTATGGCTAGCCAGTTTTCCCAGCACCATTTATTAAATAGGGAATCCTTTCCCCATTGCTTGTTTTTCTCAGGTTTGTCAAAGATCAGATAGTTGTAGATATGTGGCGTTATTTCTGAGGGCTCTGTTCTGTTCCATTGATCTATATCTCTGTTTTGGTACCAGTACCATGCTGTTTTGGTTACTGTAGCCTTGTAGTATAGTTTGAAGTCAGGTAGTGTGATGCCTCCAGCATTGTTCTTTTGGCTTAGGATTGACTTGGTGATGCGGTCTCTTTTTTTGGTTCCATATGAACTTTAAAGTAGTTTTTTCCAATTCTGTGAAGAAAGTCATTGGTAGCTTGATGGGGATGGCATTGAATCTATAAATTACCTTGGGCAGTATGACCATTTTCATCATATTGATTCTTCCTACCCATGCGCATGGAATGTTCTTCCGTTTGTTTATATCCTCTTTTATTTCCTTGAGCAGTGGTTTGTAGTTCTCCTTGAAGAGGTCCTTCTAGTCCCTTGTAAGTTGGATTCCTAGGTATTTTATTCTCTTTGAAGCAGTTGTGAATGGGAGTTCACTCATGATTTGGCTCTCTGTTTGTCTGTTGCTGGTGTATAAGAATGCTTGTGATTTTTGTACATTGATTTTGTATCCTGAGACTTTGCTGAAGTTGCTTATCAGCTTAAGGAGATTTTGGGCTGAGACAATGGGGTTTTCTAGATATACAATCATGTCATCTGCAAACAGGGACAATTTGACTTCCTCTTTTCCTAATTGAATACCTTTTATTTCCTTCTCCTGCCTGATTGCCCTGGCCAGAACTTCCAACACTATGTTGAATAGGAGTGGTGGGAGAGGGCATCCCTGTCTTGTGCCCGTTTTCAAAGGGAATGCTTCCAGTTTTTGCCCATTCAGTATGATATTGGCTGTGGGTTTGTCATAGATAGCTCTTATTATTTTGAAATACGTCCCATCAATACCTAATTTATTGAGAGTTTTTAGCATGAAGTGTTGTTGAATTTTGTCAAAGGCTTTTTCTGCATCTATTGAGATAATCATGTGGTTTTTGTCCTTGGCTCTGTTTATATGCTGGATTACATTTATTGATTTGCGTCTATTGAACCAGCCTTGCATCCCAGGGATGAAGCCCACTGGATCATGGTGAATAAGCTTTTTGATGTGCTGCTGGATTCGTTTTGCCAGTATTTTATTGAGGATTTTTGCATCAATGTTCATCAAGGATATTGGTCTAAAATTCTCTTTTTTTGTTGTGTCTCTGCCAGGTTTTGGTATCAGAATGATGCTGGCCTCATAAAATGAGTTAGGGAGGATTCCCTCTTTTTCTATTGATTGGAATAGTTTCAGAAGGAATGGTACCAGTTCCTCTGTGTACTTCTGGTAGAATTCGGCTGTGAATCCATCTGGTCCTGGACTCTTTTTGGTTGGTAAGCTATTGATTATTGCCACAATTTCAGCTCCTGTTATTGGTCTATTCAGAGATTCAACTTCTTCCTGGTTTAGTCTTGGGAGAGTGTATGTGTCGAGGAATTTATCCATTTCTTCTAGATTTTCTAGTTTATTTGCGTAGAGGTGTTTGTAGTATTCTCTGATAGTAGTTTGTATTTCTGTGGAATCGGTGGTGATATCCCCTGTATCATTTTTTATTGCGTGTATTTGATTCTTCTCTCTTTTTCTCTTTATTAGGTTTGCTAGCGGTCTATCAATTTTGTTAATCCTTTCAAATAACCAGCTCCTGGATTCATTAATTTTTTGAAGGGTTTTTTGTGTCTCTATTTCCTTCAGTTCTGCTCTGATTTTAGTTATTTCTTGCCTTCTGCTAGCTTTTGAATGTGTTTGCTCTTGCTTTTCTAGTTCTTTTAATTGTGATGTTAGGGTGTCAATTTTGGATCTTTCCTGCTTTCTCCTGTGGGCATTTAGTGCTATAAATTTCCCTCTACACACTGCTTTGAATGCGTCCCAGAGATTCTGGTATGTTGTGTCTTTGTTCTCGTTGGTTTCAAAGAACATCTTTATTTCTGCCTTCATTTCGTTATGTACCAAGTAGTCATTCAGGAGCAGGTTGTTCAGTTTCCATGTAGTTGAGTGGTTTTGAGTGAGATTCTTAATCCTGAGTTCTAGTTTGATTGCACTGTGGTCTGAGAGATAGTTTGTTATAATTTCTGTTCTTTTACATTTGCTGAGGAGAGCTTTACTTCCAACTATGTGGTCAATTTTGGAATAGGTGTGGTGTGGTGCTGAAAAAAATGTATATTCTGTTGATTTGGGGTGGAGAGTTCTGTAGATGTCTATTAGGTCCACTTAGTGCAGAGCTGAGTTCAATTCCTGGGTATCCTTGTTGACTTTCTGTCTCATTGATCTGTCTAATGTTGACAGTGGGGTGTTAAAGTCTCCCATCATTAATGTGTGGGAGTCTAAGTCTCTTTGTAGGTCACTCAGGACTTGCTTTATGAATCTTGGTGCTCCTGTATTGGGTGCATATATATTTAGGATAGTTAGCTCTTCTTGTTGAATTGATCCCTTTACCATTATGTAATGGCCTTCTTTGTCTCTTTTGATCTTTGTTGGTTTAATGTCTGTTTTATCAGAGACTAGTATTGCAACCCCTGCCTTTTTTTGTTTTCCATTTGCTTGGTAGATCTTCCTCCATCCTTTTATTTTGAGCCTATGTGTGTCTCTGAACGTGAGATGGGTTTCCTGAATACAGCACACTGATGGGTCTTGACTCTTTATCCAATTTGCCAGTCTGTGTCTTTTAATTGGAGCATTTAGTCCATTTACAGTTAAAGTTAATACTGTTATGTGTGAATTTGATCCTGTCATTATGATGTTAGCTGGTTATTTTGCTCGTTAGTTGATGCAGTTTCTTCCTAGTCTTGATGGTCTTCACATTTTGGCATGATTTTGCAGCGGCTGGTACCGGTTGTTCCTTTCCATGTTTAGCGCTTCCTTCAGGAGCTCTTTTAGGGCAGGCCTAGTGGTGACAAAATGTCTCAGCATTTGCTTGTCTGCAAAGTATTTTATTTCTCCTTCGCTTATGAAGCTTAGTTTGGTTGGATATGAAATTCTGGGTTGAAAATTCTTGTCTTTAAGAATGTTGAATATTGGCCCCCACTCTCTTCTGGCTTGTAGGGTTTCTGCCGAGAGATCCGCTGTTAGTCTGATGGGCTTCCCTTTGAGGGTAACCCGACCTTTCTCTCTGGCTGCCCTTAACATTTTTTCCTTCATTTCAACTTTGGTGAATCTGACAATTATGTGTCTTGGAGTTGCTCTTCTCTAGGAGTATCTTTGTGGCATTCTCTGTATTTCCTGAATCTGAACGTTGGCCTGCCTTGCTAGATTGGGGAAGTTCTCCTGGGTAATATCCTGAAGAGTGTTTTCCAACTTGGTTCCATTCTCCCCATCACTTTCAGGTACACCTATCAGACGTAGATTTGGTCTTTTCACATAGTCCCATATTTCTTGGAGGCTTTGTTCATTTCTTTTTATTCTTTTTTCTCTAAACTTCCCTTCTCGCTTCATTTCATTCATTTCATCTTCCATCACTGATACCCTTTCTTCCAGTTGATTGCATTGACTCCTGAGGCTTCTGCATTCTTCATGTAGTTCTCGAGCCTTGGTTTTCAGCTCCATCAGCTCCTTTAAGCACTTCTCTGTATTGGTTATTCTAGTTATACATTCTTCTAAATTTTTTTCAAAGTTTTCAACTTCTTTGCCTTTGGTTTGAATGTCCTCCCGTAGCTCAGAGTAATTTGATCGTCTGAAGCCTTCTTCTCTCAGCTCGTCAAAGTCATTCTCCATCCAGCTTTGTTCCGTTGCTGGTGAGGAACTGCGTTCCTTTGGAGGAGGAGAGACACTCTGCGTTTTAGAGTTTCCAGTTTTTCTGTTCTGTTTTTTCCCCATCTTTGTGGTTTTATCTACTTTTGGTCTTTGATGATGGTGATGTACAGATGGGTTTTTGGTGTGGATGTCCTTTCTGTTTGTTAGTTTTCCTTCTAACAGACAGGACCCTCAGCTGCAGGTCTGTTGGAATACCCTGCAGTGTGAGGTGTCAGTGTGCCCCTGCTTTGGAGTGCCTCCCAGTTAGGCTGCTCGGGGGGTCAGGGGTCAGGGACCCACTTGAGGAGGCAGTCTGCCCGTTCTCAGATCTCCAGCTGCGTGCTGGGAGAACCACTGCTCTCTTCAAAGCTGTCAGACAGGGACATTTAGGTCTGCAGAGGTTACTGCTGTCTTTTTGTTTGTCTGTGCCCTGTCCCCAGAGGTGGAGCCTACAGAGGCAGGCAGGCCTCCTTGAGCTGTGGTGGGCTCCGCCCAGTTGGAACTTCCAGGCTGCTTTGTTTACCTAATCAAGCCTGGGCAATGGCGGGCGCCCCTCCCCCAGCCTTGCTGCCGCCTTGCAGTTTGATCTCAGACTGCTGTGCTAGCAATCAGAGACTCCGTGGGCGTATGACCCTCCAAGCCAGGTACGGGATATAATCTCGTGGTGCACCGTTTTTTAAGCCCGTCGGAAAAGCGCAGTATTTGGGTGGGAGTGACCCGATTTTCCAGGTACCGTCCGTCACCCCTTTCTTTGACTCAGAAAGGGAACTCCCTGACCCCTTGCGCTTCCCAAGTGAAGCAATGCCTCGACCTGCTTCGGCTCGCGCACGGTGCGCGCACCCACTGACCTGCGCCCACTGTCTGGCACTCCCTAGTGAGATGAACCCGGTACCTCAGATGGAAATGCAGAAATCACCGTCTTCTGTGTCGCTCATGCTGGGAGCTGTAGACGGGAACTGTTCCTATTCAGCCATCTTGGCTCCTCCCCCTAGTTTGTACTTTCTAATTCAGCACCTTTCTCCTCGATTTTCAGTTCTTCCAGTACATATTCTCTGTCATCTGGGCCCCTCAGCCTGCTGTTCCCTCTGCTTAAAACACTCTTTCTACTGGGCTTGTAATTTCAGGCTGATGTTCCTTTTATAATTAAGAAAAGGTATGCAAATAAAACTATCTACTGAGAGCGAAAATAACCTGTGAGTTACCTGGAGTTTACAGAGGCTAGAAAGAATAGAATGCACTGTGGCCACAGTGCTCATGTTTTTCAAGAGGGTATCAGTGCTGTGACTTTTCGAATAATATCCTCATCATTTCCTCAGTAACAGGATTAGTATTAAATCCCAGAGGAAAGTTGCAAGAACCCATTTTCTCAAGTTATGTAAAACTCAGATTCAACAAACTCCCCCCATTTATACCACTGTGTGAACCTGATAACAACACATTCAAGATAGCAAAAACATGGAAGTAAGTGGCTTCTAGCTTCAATGCCACAGATATTTTTTAAATAGTTATTTTAAAATGATAATTTGTAGGTAGTATATTTAATTCAAGGAAGTCTAAAATATTAGACTTGAAATCATCAGGAGTGTGTAATACATCGGACAGTTTAGTTCAACTCAACTTTTAAATCAATATTTTAAAATCAAATTTTATTCTAATGTGTTTGAATTCTGCAAAGTTTTTTCAGGTATCAAAACTAGGAACTTTTTTAAATTTTACTTTAAGTTCTGGTATACATGTGCAGAATGTGCAGTTTTGTTACATAGGTATACATGTGCCATGGTGGTTTGCTGCACCCATCAACCCGTCATCTAGGTTTGAAGCCCCCCATGCATTAGGTATTTGCCCTAGTGCTCTCCCTCCCCTTGCCCCCACCCCCAGTAGGCCCTGGTGTGTGATGTTCCCCTCCCTGTGTCCATGTGTTCTCATTGTTCAACTCCCATTTATGGGTGAGAACATGCAGTGTTTGGTTTTCTGTTCCTGTGTTAGTTTGCTGAGGATGATGGTTTCCAGCTTCATCCATGTCTCTGCAAAGGACATGAACTCATTCTTCACTGGTCATTAGAGAAAGCAAATCAAAACCACAATGAGATACCATCTCACGCCAGTTAGAAGGCAATCGTTAAAAACTCAGGAAACAACAGATGCTGGCAAGACTGTGGAGAAATAGGAATGCTTTTACACTGTTGGTGGGAGTGTAAATTAGTTCAACCATTGTGGAAGACAGTGTGATGATTTCCTCAAGGATCTAGAACCAGAAATACCATTTGACCCAGCAATCCCATTACTGGGTATGTACTCAAAGGATTATAAATCATGCTACTATAAAGACACATTCCCACGTATGTTTATTGTGGAACATTATTTTTTGAATGTTTTAAAGGCTCTTAAGTAAAATGTTTTTTCTTAGTGTGATGTTTATTGTAGGGGCTTATGAATTGTTTGTTGCTCCTTTACTAATTAAGCAAAGTTTGTAAGGTTTTAGAGGCAGTTCCTTTCTTTTATTTCTATTCCAGGATTTTAGCAATTGTTAGGTTCTCATCTATCACATCTCAAAAGTTAGTTTTCACTCCAAAACTGAGAGGTTCAAATAGGATTTAAATTGTCAAAAAAAATTGTGTCTACTGTGGTGTTTTTTGCATCATGACAGTAATTTGACTCTGCAGCTTAAGAATATGGAGAATATTTTAAAAAAAAGGATATGGAGAATATGGAAGTGACAAGAATTGTAGGGTTCAGACATCTACTCTGATACAAATTATTTACCAGCTGGCTCAGGAAAGGTGAGCCAGTGCTTGTCCCTTGGAGACTCAGGCGTGTATTTGGAAGAGAATATGTAAAGCCTGAAGGAAATCTGCAGATGTGCTTTATTTAATTCCTTGTTATATTTATGTACCTAAGAACACTCTCGACAAAAGCAAGCTAGGCTTCTGGTTCAGATGGCAGAGTGTGAAAAGCTTTGCTGTGCATTGGTCCCTGTTGCAAACAGGCTGATGCCTAGGCCAGCCCTGTCAGCAATCCAAGCCCAGCTCTGGGCTTTTCACTGGTGAGGACAGTGGGGAGCAGTACAATCCCTGTGGACATAGGAACAATAGGCCACAGCCCACCGCAGTGCTCCAGGGAAGCAATTTGGAGCCTGAATCTAGCCCCATCATTTAGACATACACCATGAATCAGAGGGCATTTGTGCTATTATTAGTCCACACTCCTATAACAGGTCAGCCAGTTCACTATATTTCCCATTCTTTCTTTTTTTTATTCTCTTAAAACATATTTAGTTGACAAATAAAAATTTGTCAAGGAGTACAATGTAATAACTTGATATAAGTATACACTGTGTAATGAAGTACAGTGAAAAACTTCAGTGAAGAAAGCTGTAAAACCTCTTATGGCCTCTTGTGCAGATCTTGCAGCGTCTGCACCTGTTAAACCTCTGCCAGTCTCCTTCCTGGGTCTGAATCTGGCCTCCACCATTTCCACACTATGTGATCCAGGATCCATCATTTCGTTTCTTTAAGCTCCACTTTACTTATCTGTGTTATGGTTAATCAGAACGGCTTTTGCTAAGTAATGATGAAGTGAGATATACTCATGTATGCAAAGTGCTTAGAGCAGGGCCTAAAGGGTAGTAAGAGCCCAATGAATGTTAAGCGCAGGGTTTAAGACCCTTTGTAGAGGCCCAGCTCAATATCCTGCGATGTTCTGAGCAGGTTCCTTAGCGTATTCTTTATGTCAGTTAAGTCCAAAACGTGATAAGGGAACTAACTATGTCAGTGGCAAGTCCAGACAAGAAGGACAGAGATTTGTGAATTCCTAGGCGCCAACTGGATTCTGACAACCAGACAAGTGAGAACAGGAGGACTCAGCTACTTTCTTTTTCTTGAGGACCGGAAATCAGGGAAGATCTCTCTAAAACAGTAGCATTCAAATGCCTGTGCAGAATGCGGACTCCTTAAAGGGTGAAGTGAGTTGCTCAGAAACATGCAGCTAGGAGATGGGTAAAAGAGGTCTCCTGACTCCCATTTTGGTGTTTCTTGTGTTGATCAAACTGCCTCTATTAGAGCCTTCTTGGAATCTCCAGAAAATACTTTGTACAGAGCATATATACTGATCATAATAAGAAATCATCTGGAACTACATTCTTCCATTAAAAAAATTTTGAATGGCTGCTATGTTTAAGGCTCTGTGTTGGGCACTTAAAGACCCAGCATCTTTCTGTTAGCCATCTCTTCTTTGGGCCAACAGCCTCCTAGTCAGACAGGTCTAAAACTCCAGCATCAACTTTGACACCTGTATTGGCTCATTGTCTGTCTCTTTCACTAGCATTATTCGCTCACTATACATTTAGATTATGGTAGCAACCTTTCAATTTGGCCCCTGCCTGTAGGCTTGACATTTGTCACTAGGAGGGTCCCTAGTTTGGAGTTAATATAGGGTATATATAACTTTGGAGTTAATATAGGGTAAAATCTCAACTGAAGATTTAAGACTATTTCCCAAATGGGATCGATTTCTTAATTTCTGTTTATTTATAAATAAAGAATCAGTAAAAAGCGTCTGGGATTCTATCACCCAGAAATAACCAACACCAACCACTACCAGCAATCTCTGTATCTTTACATATTTCACATATGTAATTAAAAAAATCATACACATAATTTGAAATCATTTGCACATATATCATGAGCATTTTCATAACAATAAATAAATCAATTGATGCATTACATGCTATTATGTCACTAATCCTTAATTTAATCAATCCTCCATTGATTTTTTTATATTAATACTGTTTTTTTACTATTATAATCACTAACAGTAAATGCTAAATACACAGATCTTCATGAATTTGTTGGAGTACTTTCATCAAACAAATTATTGTAAAGGAAATTGCTAGATCAAAGGATGCTTAATTTTAAGGCTTTTGATGAGTGTTGTCAAAGTGCCCTCTGGAAATTTTATGCCAGTTTACACTGTGTTTCCTCTTTCTCTACAGTGTCATCCTGGTTATTAATATTTGTTAACATCTTTGCCAGTCTGAAAGGGGAAAATGATATTATGTTAATTTGTATTTTATTGATTACGAGAGTGAAATATTTTGCATATCAAAGGCCATTTATATTTCCTATTTTGTGAGTTATCCATTCATATCTTGTAACTATACTTTCACTGATTTATCTTATTTGTCTGTATTAATTCTGTCATATATAGTGAATATTTTCCCATTTAATTTTTTTTTACTAATTATTGTAATAAACATTAAAATTTTTGATTTCATCAAATCTTTCACACTTTTTATTTGCAACTTCTGAACTTAATTCTTTTCTTGGAAAAGCTTTTCTTATTCCAAGCCTAGCAAATATTCAGCAATATTTTATTCAAGCGCTTTTAAGGTTTCATTTGTTACCTTAAGATCTGATCAATGTTGAATTTATTTTGATATAGAGTATAAGAAAAAGTAACTGTGTTGTGGCTTGCATTTTCTCTAATTTACGATAAATCCATCTTTTCCCTCACTGATCTGGAATGGTGATATTATTATATGTTATACATACATGAATCTACTGAGGATCTTTGATGTGAAGAGGTTAGATGCAGAGATACCAGGGAGGTCCAGGTGCAAAGTAATGATAAAGCTGCTAGTAGCAATGAAAAGGAAAAGGATTAGTGCAAGAAATCTTGCATGAATGCATAGATGAATAATAGATAAGTCTTGTCTCCTCTTTGAAATATGAGGTAATAAGGAGAAACTACATAGTTTTTGAACTAGATGACTGGGGAAAATTGTCATGTACAAAAATAGGGAAAGCAGGAGTAGTTGGCTGTGAAGTAGAAGATGATGATCAATTTAATCATTAGGATTTTGAGTTTGTGGTCCCAATAGAGTATCTGTGGTGTGGTGGGGAGAGAGGGAGGGAGGGAGGGAAGAAGGTGGGGGGGGGGGGAGAGAGAGAGAGAGAGAGAGAGAGAGAGAGAGAGAGAGAGAGAAGCAGGGAGCAGATTAAGTCTAGATTCAGTTAACTTTTGTTACATATCTACTGTAACTACTTTATTTACTCTAACAGGCAACACTGCATTTTCCTGGATGGTTCATCAATACTTGAGAGATTTTACTCTTTCTCAAAAGAGTAAAGCAATAGCCAGCATCTCCACAGAATCTCAGAATAGCACATCATCTTCTCCCCGGCCCTCTTCCCTGCCCCCTTTTCTCTCCTCCTACCCAGCCTTGGATCCTCATATCTCAGGCTCCTCATCACCCTCCTCCTAGAGTTAGAGAGGCGGTGGAATTCTCATCCTAGCAGCCCTGCTTGGGGAAGGTAGAGAGCACAGGAAGGGAAAGAAGGTAGGGGAAGAGGCTTCTGCAGAACCTTAACTCTTGTGCTACTTTCCCTCAGCTTCTGCCAGGCTTATTGCTAGTCCAAGCAGAGACCAAGGAAAAGGTCTCTTACTCTTACCCCTTCCCCATAGAACACCCTGGCCTGCCTCCTACAGCTTACCGCTAATGTCTTTTCAGAGGCTGGGTGAGACCAGCAGAAGCTCAGAGCAGTCACAGACATGGGGGACAAATGCTGCCTTTCAGAACTGCAGCAGTAACAAGAAAAACGTTTCTAGTGTCCGCTATGGAAATGTGTGAGCTGTAGTGGTTTAGGGTCAAAGAAATGTCTGTGAACATTTATTATTAGTTAAGAAGACAACTTTGTGTCCAGGGGACAGTCTCCATGTTCCAGATCGTTGACTTGCGAACAGACAGTGGGACCAGAACTCCTGTAAGTTGGAAATGGGCTGCATTAATTTCTTCCAGTCATGCATAAAGAAAATGCATTATTGGACACGTATGCAACTTCTATATTTTGTCACATAGGTAGATATAAAAACATTTTCCAGCAAGGATTTCCCAAACACTTCAAATCAAAGACTCTAAAAGTTAAACACTAATCATGGTAAAGTCTGGTTATTAAAAATAAAAGCTTTATACTTTTATAATGTTTAAAATATGTTTTAGCATACCGTAGACTATTTTGTCTGTTTGGCAGCTCTTTGAGGTACAATTTTCCTCATTTTCCAGATGAAAAAGTTAAGGCTAGACGGGTCAAGCCACTTGACTGATACCACAGGTCAGAGCATACAAAGGACTCAAGATCAGACTGTGAGTTTCCCAATCTATTCCTCTTCCTAGTACATCACCACTGCTTCCACAGGCTTTGAGCGTCTGCTTTTTGAGACCATACTTTATTTTTGGTAAGCAAAATCTTTACCTCCAAGAACATGCATTTTTTTCAGGCTCAGCATGATTTATTCTGCTTACTTGGTTTGCAGGTGTCTACTGATGTGCTCTATTATACATGTCTAAAGTGTGGACTGATAGGCATTATCAGGAGTCAGTTACAGGTTTAATGAAGTGATCATACCGACAGCCTTCTTTTGATAAATTTAACAATTTAATATATAGGAAAATAGGAATATGTCAGGAGATAAAGGCTTAACAGATTGTGTTTTAACACCTAATTAAATAAAGCAGAGCAGAGAACTGTATTCTTAGATTAAAGCTAATAGAGTTGCTATTTTGAGACTGTGAACACTTGAGAATTATCCGTGATTTGTGGTAAATATAAGAAAAGATAGTCCAAAATTTTAAGAAGACATTTCAACCTTTCTTCATAAAATGACTACTCCCCAACACAAGCAACATTAATTAGAATTTCCTTTCAATTTGCTCCTTTATTACAGTTAACACTAGTTTAAATTCTCCATTTGAAAGATGTCTAAGGAAAGCTAGTAGCTACTTTTGCCAAAGCAAATAAGTGAAATACTATTTATAACTTTCACATGAAATATGACATGATAAGAATAAAAATGGTTAAAAGTGGCTCTTTCTAAAGAGGAAAGACAATAACAATGAAATAAAAAGCTTTTAGGAGAAACCCAGAGATGGACCTGAGAGCTCTCTGTACTCTTGCCTAAATATGAGAAAGCTGTAGTCACGTAGCATCCCCAGCTGAGGGTGAGGCAGAGGTGGGCAGGAGAGTGCTGGAGCCTGGCTGGCTCATTGACTGTCCTTCTCCTCATGCCACATCCAACGTGGCTGGCAAACAAGACTGCCTTTCAATGAGGAGCAGAAGCTGCAGGTTCGTAGGTGTCCAGGTGCCTGAGTGGCCAACACGCCCAAGCAAAGAAAGTAAGCTTGTGCTTTTATGGACACTAGGTAAACGCCTTCAGTTTAAATTTTTTGCTAAATATTTTAGCTTATTTTATTGTTATCTTCCAGGTGTCTAAATCTCCAGTCTGTCTGTTGTACTGGTAATTTAACTCTGTAATGGAATGGTTTGCTGCCAACTATTTATATTAAATAATTTTAAAATATTTGTAATATTATTGACTAACAAACTATTAAGTTATTGGCAAAAAAAAAAAAAAAGGAAGCTTGAGGGAATAAAACATTTTTGTTTTAGGCCACAGAATAAGACCTTCTGGAAACTGTCTCTATTAGGATAGTTTCTGCCAAGGCCTAAGAGATACTTACTTAGTTTTTAAAAATTAAAGATGATCTTTTCCCTTCTCTAGTTTTTCCTGTCTTACCGGACATGGAAGTTCCAGTTATTTATAAAAGGTTTATATTTTTGGAGCAAGCTGGCTAGGAAGAGTAGGCTAAATCTGTCACTTTCCCAGGAGCCTAAACTCCTGAAGTTCTGACATCAGTGGCCTCTTTATTGCTGGTGGATGCACCACTTAGTTGCAGGTGGAGCCACTCTTGAGCACTGAATCAGCACTTTTCTATTCAATCTTGTTCACCAAAGAATGCTAGAATGATACATCCAGGGCAGAGTTGAAAATTTGGGGGCACATATTTGAGATTTTTAAAATGCTTACATTTCTGAAATTCTAATACATCAAATAATATGAAAGAAAATGGAAAAGAATAATATGGTTCCCTCTCATGGTTCCTTATTTTGATTGGAATAATAAAACAATTCATTTGGCATGTTTCCAAGCATGACAAATCAATAGAGTATAAAATGAAGAGAAATAAGAAGTTGAAATCTATACCAGTTGAAAAATTCAGCATTTTATGTCCAAATGAGTATTTCAGATACATATCATATTTGTTAATGAAAAGTCTAAGTGGCGAATGCTGGCAAATAACATTCAGTTTTAGGATTATTAACAAAGGAAGACAAATACGCTGTTTATTTACATGTGAGAAGAGTTTATTTTCACTTTCAGCAAAATGTTGCAGTCTTAAATTCTGATAAATCTGCCATTATTTTGGTGACATTTACATATTCAGAAGATATTTACTTTGGGCTGAATGATTAGTGTAATTATTCTGCGTATTGACTGAAACAGCCTCACTTTATAAGGAAACAAAGGTGTATAATTATATTTGTTTCTCTTGTGGATTATATATTATCATATTAATACTATACATATATACAGCACTCTATTTTTTAACGCAAATAATTAATTTGAGAATTTTTCACCTGAGACCTTTCTTACTTCATAAGGCCAGAGTCAGGGAGATAAATGTATAAGGCTGAGTCTCAATGGGAAAAGAAAATAGGAATTATTAGCTCAAAAATTAGCTGATTCTGACCTTTTCTCATGCCTATTTGCTTTTCGAGTTTCTGGGAAATTTAGTAAAATGTAGATTTATATTCTTTGCAATCTATGAATACAATATTCTCAATTTTATGCTTTGTTTTACAGAGTAATCAAGGAGGCGTGTTGAGCCAAGTGTACAAATTCAACAGCTGGGAAGGTATTATGGGGAGGTCTTGTAACATTTTATTCAGGTTTCCTTGAAAAGAACTGAAAACTGATGAAACTTTTAGACCGAATATTCCTTTGAAAACATGAATAGAATTCATTTGCTGAGAGGCATGTATTGAAACGTGATATCTAGTGCATGGTTATTTTTCACTTTCTAAATTAAACTGACATAGAGAGTTTGAGAAATAAGTTTAAGAAATAGACATGGCTTATGATTGAAAGCACAATTTTCCATCTAAATGTTGGTCCGTGTTCATCTTTATCTCAGTTAGTAGCAACCTTTGTTCCGCAGCAGTTGTTCGTTGATTGTTATGGTCTGTCGACAGCTCCAGCTCGTGCCATCTTCCCAATGTACCAACTTCTCTTTCTCTGGTCAGGTTGCGCTGTTGCCTTTGTATGTCTTCCCACCTCATGGATGTTAGTTTCATTATGAGAATATTGAAAAACAGTCTTCCAGTCATAACCCCACTGGCTTCCTTTTCTCTGTCACTTCCAAACCGCAGGACCATTGCTGGGCACCATGTCTACCCACCCATGAGAGTTAGGAATAAACACAAACGAGTTCAATTCAGTTCAGCAAACAGTTATTGTGCATCTATTTTATGCCAGGAACTGCAGAAGGTGCTGGGGTACAAAGTGAAGAAGATAATTTGCTTGGTCTCAAGGGGGAGCTCCTGGTCTAATACCCAGGCTCCTATAATCCCTCAGCATTATCCTCTCCACTTTGCCTGTTCCCCTGTTGCTCATTACCTGTGCAACCGCTCCTCCCTCTCTGGCTCAATTCCTGCTTTTCTTCCCTCTGTTCCTTTATCCTGCTAGTGTCTTCCTTTTCAACCATAGCCAACACTCCATCTTCAAATGCTTAGCGATACAACTTATACCTCAACTATCTGGAAAGGCTTTCTGAACTAAGTAGGAGAAGTTGTAAATATTTAACTTTTTATTTTTCTAAATTATCTGATTATAAGCAACAGTAAAACAAAGATCCCATATTATTATCTGCAGAGTTAATTTGGGGACAACAGGGACCTCTTAGTTTTTTTGATTAATTTTAAACTTACTTGTAATTAATTGGTAGTATATGTTACAAACCATTAAAAATTACTTAACAGTAATCACTTTTGAAAATAGGAGGAAAATAAACATTTTTATGGCAGATTTGTTTGCCTTAAGAATTATTTTGAAAGAAGTATTAGAATCGAGGCTTAGAAAAACGGTAGAGTGCTTGGCTGGGCGCAGTGGCTCACACCTGTAATCCCAGCACTTTGGGAGGCCGAGGTGGATGGATCACGAGGTCAGGAGTTCGAGACCAGCCTGCCCAATATGGTGAAACCCTGTCTCTACTAAAAGTACAAAAATTAGCCGGGCGTGGTGGCGCACGCCTGTAGTCCCAGCTACTCAGGAGGCTGAGGAAGATCACTTGAACCCGGGAGGCAGAGGTTGCAGTGAGCCAAGATTGTGCCACTGCACTGCAGGCTGGGTGACAGAGTGAGACTCCATCTCAAAAAAACAAAAAGCAAACAAACAAAAAAACCCCAAAACAAAGAGTGCTCATATTTTTGCCTAAATGAAAAAAAATTAGAGATTTTTCTTTCACCTATCCCCCAAAACACCAAGAATTCATATAGCCTTATTTCCAAGAAATTGGAATGCTGGATCTGTGAAAACAAAAATAAAGAACATGGAAAATGTTGCAAAACTAAAGTATTTCTCTAGATCATTCAAATTAATTAAGACAATAATTTTGTTTCTTAGAAACATTCACATATACCCAGGCCTGATTACTTCCCCAAATGCTCCCTCTTTCCATTCCTTTTTCTCCCTACTCACCCCTCACCCCCTCCCAAAAAACTCACTATGGCTCCACTTTCCAGAGACTAGAAAAATTGAACCCTGGCTGTTGAAAAAATGACTATTTTTAACATCTCTAAAAGTTTCCTAAACCTTCTCTTTATCTCTTTTAATTAAACTTTCTTTTCTAAACAACCCCCCCATCTAATTGAATCCCAGTGGTTTTTTTTTTGTTGTTCTTTTCTCCCCCCACTGTTGCTGCAATACTATATTTTCTATTGTTTATTTAAAGCATGCAGTATTTCAATTACATTTGGATTAAATAAGGTTTTTGTAAGCTGGTCTTGAAACTTAATCACCGTCTGTAGCAAAGTGTTATGAAGAAATATGTTCTAAGACTAACAAATTACTCTCTACAATACAGCCTGTTGTAAACTGAAAAGTGTTTCTTATAACATCGATTTTCATGTGTGGGTTTTGTACCCAGCTTTGTTAAATTATAGTTTCACCCAGAATGTTGCTTTTCAGGATCTTTTTTAATATAGAGCTTATATTATTATTTAATTGGTAGTAAGCCATTTCTTCTTCAGCACATGAAGGACACAGTTATTGACATTCTAGCTTGTAAGTCAATTTTGATAGTTCACGATAATTGGATTAAACATTACTATGTTAAATAAGTGACCCAGTACTTTGGTCATTAAAATTCCCAAATTGGATTACTGTTTGCTTCCTGATTGGACAGCAGTTGGCCTGCTAAATGTAAACTTAATTAGAGACATTACCTTGTCAATATATCAAACTTTCAGTATGCTGCGTTCCATTAACTCACTCACTATAACTCTTTGCCCTCTAGCATTTTTTTCAGGGCATCCTTTACTTCTGTGTTTCTCAGGCGATAGATAAGAGGGTTAAGCATGGGAATTACAAGACTATAAAACACAGAGACTACTTTGTTTGGCTTCCATGAATTCCCCGCTTTTGGTTGCTGCAGGTACATGAAAAATAGTGTGCCATAAAAGATGGTGACGACAGTGAGGTGGGAGGCACGGGTGGAAAATGCTCTGCACTTGCCCTCGGAAGACTGGATTTTTATAATGGAAAAGAGGATGCAAATGTAGGAGATGAAGATGGTAAGGAGGGACCCAGTGAGATTTACTGCAGAGAAGATCATGAGCTGCTTTTCTTTGTTGTGGGTGTCAGAGCAGGAGAGGGCCAGGAGAGGGGGGTCAGCACAGTAGAAGTGGTGGATGACGTCGGAGTTGCAGAAAGACAGCTGAAACGTCAGAGCTGTCTGTATCACAGAGTTTCGGAAGCCATAGGTATAGACCCCTATCACTAACTCCCTGCAGACCCGCTGCGTCATAATAGCTGTGTAAATCAGGGGGTTGCAGATGGCCACGTAGCGGTCGTAGGGCATTGTGGCCAAGAGGAATCATTCTGTAGTGGCAAAAGCACCGGAGAAGTACAGCTGAGCAAAACAGCCTGAAAAGGAGATGGTTTTTTTCTTCACCAATACATTTTGCAGCATCTTGGGCCCAATAGAAGATGAGTAACACAGATCAATGAATGCCAGGTGACTGAGGAAGTAGTACATGGGGGTGTGGAGCCGCGAGTCTGCTCTGATCAGCAGGATCATGCCAAGGTTTCCCACCAGGGTGATGAGATAAATGACAAGGAACACCACAAAGAGGGGGAGCTGCAGCTCAGGACGGTCTGTGAATCCCATGAGGACAAATTCGGTCACTGTGGTACGATTGCCTTTTGTCATGTTCTCTCGCCTGCTGCAAAAAATAAGAAATGATTAGATACTTAAAAACAAACGCTTCTTACCTCTTTGTTGCATTACCATACGAAAAAAAAAATGTGGCTTTACATTTCCAATAGTTAAAGGCTGTCATTAGCTATGGGACTTTATTCTGCTAAAACAGACTTGGCAAGACTGAACTCATTTCTTTTTGGAACCAGGAGAACGATTTTCCTAGGACAGAACCTATTTTTATGTTAACAGTGTTGGTGTTTTCAGTTCAACTCAACAGATACTTCTGGGCTTTGTGTGGGGCCAGATAGCATGCTTGGTGCTGGGCTGGAGATGGGTATGACAATGACATTGTCTTTGTTCTTATGGAGTCTAGTGGAGGGTTCGTAAAACATTCCTAAGGGGAAGTGAGCCAAGTATTTTTGGAGCTGCAGAGTGCTGTAGGAGTTCACAGGAGGGAGAGATTGAATGTGGATGGTGGAAATGGAAAAGCTTCATTCATTCATTCTCATTCACTTATCAAACACATATTGCCCCTCTTCAATGTGCCAGATGCTATGCTAAGTGAAGGTGACCCAAACATGAATAAAACGTATGTCTGCCTTCAATGAATGCACAGGCTGGTAGGAGAAACATACATGTAAGTAACTAGTTACAATTCACTGTGGGTAATGCTCTGAAAGAGAGGAATCTCCTAACTCAACCGTGTGTGGGGGTGGAGGATCAGCAGTCTTAGGCAACACTGAATTGTCCTAAATTTTAGGCTGGATATTTAAAATTATAAATGTAATATATCCACTTGGTGAAATTATCAATAGGAGAAAGGGATATAAATGAAAAAACAGTTTCTCTCCTCTACCTCCAATATAATTAATGGTATCCAATGTTAACAGTTCCTTTAGTATTCTTCTAAGAATGCTTAGGTATAAACAAGTATCAATACACACAAAACACACACACACATACTTTTCTACATAAATGAAATCATACAGTTTTGTACCTTTTCTCTTCTTACACTTAAGAAATATTTCCATGATAAGAACACATGGATACATAGAGGGGAACAACACACATTGGGGCTTATTGGAGGGTGGAGGGTGGGAGGAGGGAGAAGATCAGGAAAAGTAACTAATGAATACTAGGCTTAATACCTGGGTGATGAAATAATCTGTACAACAACCCCCTATGACACACATTACCTATGTAACAAACCTGCACATCCTGCACAGTTACCCCTGAACTTAAAATAAAAGTTAAAGACGTATTTCCAAAGTAGTTCATAGAAATCCATGACATTTTCATAACTGTATCATAATTTATTAATAAGTTCTCTCTTAATGGATATTTAAATGTTTACAATTTTGTTTTTTTTTTTCTATCTCAAATAAAGCTTGCGCTCATATGTCTAAGCATGTGTGTGGATTAAAGATAAACCACTAGGTCAGGCATGGTGGCTCAAACCTGTAATCCCAGTACTTTGAGAGGCTGAGGTGGGCGGATCATGAGGTCAGGAGATCGAGACCATCCTGGCCAACATGGTGAAACCCCATCTCTACTAAAAAAAAAAAAATTAGCTGGGTGCGGTGACACGTGCCTGTAATCCCACTGTAATCCCAGCTACTCGGGAGGCTCAAGCCTGAGAATCTCTTGAACCCAGGAGACAGAGGTTGCAGTGAGCTGAGAAGGTGCCACTGCACTCCAGCCTGGTGACACAGCGAGACTCCATCTCAAAAGAAAAAAAAAGAAAAAGATAAACCACTAGAAGTGAAGTTTGGGTCAAAATGTATATATTCACTTTACTTTTTTGATCGTGATTGACAAATTGACCTCCAAGTAAATTTCACCGAGTCAAACTCGCTTCTAACGAGATTGTGCAAGAACACTGATTTTCCCATACTTTTATCCAAAGTTTTATTAAGTTTTAAGCCTTTGCCACTGTGATAGTGGACATTGGTAGCTCCTGCAGTTTTGTGTGTTTTTATGAGTAGGGTTTAGCATTTTTCAAACAATTATTTGTATGTATATTTTTTCCCTATGAACTGTCAGTTCCTTTGTGAATTTTTCTATTAGGTTGATTGATTTTCTAGAACATTTTATTTCTAGGAGGTCTTCGTTTATTAAGGAAACCAGCTCTTTGTCTGATGCATGTATTGCAAATTACTTTTCAGTTTGTCAGTTGTCCCTTAACATTGGTGTGATAATTACTTTGTGTGCTATGCAGTGAGGTTTGCATTGTTTGATTTCAAATTTATCAATCCTTTTCCTTTTGAATTCTGATCTTTGCAACATGGTTAAATGAAACTTCTTCGATTTAAAATTATTTAAAAAATTATCTCCTGTTTTAGTCCAGAGACTTACTTCATTTCAATTTTATATTACAAACTTTGATTTTCCTGGAAATTTAATTTCGATATAAGGAATGAGGCAATCAACTACAGTTATGCATCACATAAAGACAGGAATACATTCTGAGAAATGCATTGTTCAGTGATTCTGTCATCGTGTAAACATCATAGAGTGTACTTGCACAAACCGAAATGGTATAGCCTACTATGCATCTAGGCTATATGGCATAGCTTATTGCTCCTGGGCTACAAACCTGTACAGCATATTACTGTACTGAATATTGTAGGCAATTGTAACACAATGGTATTTGTGTATCTAATCATATCTAAACAAAGAGAAGGTACAGTAAAATACAGTATTATAATATTATGGGACCACCATTGTAAGCTGTCTGTTGTTGATTGAAATGTCATTATGCACTGCATGACTGTATTTTTACTTATTTCTTCAAATGGCTAGCCAGATGATCTAATGCAACTTATTTGTGAAATTGTTTTCCTGCTGGTTTTGTTTATTTAAAACTCCAGACTTATCCTATGCTAATACTAAAACATCCTGAAGTACTTGGGTCAATTTATGATTTTTTTGTAGTCTTTTCTAGAACCAGGACCACACATTTAAATTAAATAGTTATATAATTCATTTTACTATCTAGTAGCAATTTTTCTGGCCATTCTCACATGTACATTTTCCAGATGCATTCTAACATTATTTTATCAAGTTCCAAAAAAATCCTGTTTGTACTTGGAACGCTATTGCATTAAATTGATTTGTCAATTTAAGGGAAAATTGACATTTTTACAACTGAATCTTCTTTTCTGTAACTATGGTATTTATTTTATTGATTAAATAATTTCCTAGAGTTTTAGAGTTTTCTCTAAACTTTACAGATATACATCCTATGTATTTCTTTAAATTCTAGTCACAGATATTTTATCTTTTTGTTACTATTGTAAATTAAATCTTAAAAAGAGTTTTTTGTGGTCTATTCAAGTATTATTTGTGTATAGCAAAACTACTGATTTTTATAAATTAATTTTATAACTCTCTTCCTTACAATAGTTTCCTATCATTTAAAAATAGTTTTCTGGTTGATTCTCTTGGGTTTCTTAACTGCATAATCATACAATATGAAAGGATGTGAGTTTCGTTTCTCATTTCTCTAACGTATTCTTGTTCCTTTTTCTTCTCTACTTGTATTGGTTAGTACTTCCAGAGCAATGTTAATATACAGTAACAGTGGTGGTAATTTTTACCTTTTATCCTCTTGAAGGATGCTTCATAAGTACAAGGAAATTCTCAGGCATTCTAGACAGAGGGAATAGCCTGTGCAAAGTTACTGAGGTTTGAGGAAGTCCAGGCGTTAAATAACTACAAATATTTGGTGTGGTTAGAAAGCAGGCTTCCTAGGAGCAAACCTGCCTTTGGCATTGGCAGGGCCCAGGGCAAGAATAATAAATGAAGGCTCACGTACAATATGCCTAAATATTTAAAAGTTAAAAATCAAGATAACAAATTACTAAAACACATTTTATCCTACCTCCTTAACAACTATCCTTTATAATATCTGGAAGGAAGAATTCTTGGGATCCTTGGAATTCCAGACTGGAAGGCAGTGTTGGTGAGGAGGACTGGTTGCTAGCCCACATGACTGCACTTGCACAGACATCCAAGCAAGAATGTATAAGCTCTGTTTACACTCCTGCAAGTGGCCATCCCTTGGCCACCCATAAGGCCTAGGTGTGAGAACATGAGCAGCATGGTTTACCCTTGCAAGGATGATTTGGTAAAGAGACACTTATGGACATGGCCAAGTGGGGGACATGTGCAGGTTTGCTACATGGCTATATTGTTTGATTTTGAGGTTTGGGGTACACGTGATCCCATCACCCAAGTAGTGAGTATAGTAAGGAATAGGTAGTTTTTCAGCTATTTCTTCACTCTCTCTCATCCTCCTTAGTAGTCCTCAGTGTCTATTGCTCCCATCTTGATGTCCATGTGTACCCAATGCTTAGCTACCACTTATAAGTGAGAACATGTGATATTTGGTTTTCTGTTTCTGTGTTAATTTGCTTAGGATAATGGCCTCCAGCTGCACCCATGTTGCTGCAAAGGATGTGATTTTATTTTATTTATTTATTTTTTATTCTTAAAGTAATATTAATCTCTTTATTTGGGGTGTTTGTGTCTTTTTTATTATTATACTTTAAGTTCTAGGGTACATGTGCACAATGTGCAGGTTTGTTACATAGGTATACATGTGCCATGTTGGTTTGCTATACCCATCAACTTGGCATTTACATTAGGTATTTCTCCTAATGCTATCCCTCCCCCAGCCCCCTACCCTACAACAGGCCCCAGTGTGTGATGTTCCCTGCCCTGTGTTCAAGTGTTCTCATTGTTCAATTCCCACCTATGAGTGATAACATGCAGTGTCTGGTTTTCTGTCCTTGTGATAGTTTGCTCAGAATGATGGTTTCCAGCTTCATCCATGTCCCTACAAAGGACATGAACTCATCCTTTTTATGGCTGCATAGTATTCCATGGTGTATATGTGCTGCATTTTCTTAATCCAGTCTATCACTGATGGACATTTGGATTGGTTCCAAGTCTTTGCTATTGTGAATAGTGCTGCAATAAACATATGTATCTTTATAGTAGCATGATTTATAATCCTTTCGATATATACCCAGTAATGGGATCACTGGGTCAAATGGTATTTCTAGTTCTAGATCCTTGAGGAATTGCCACACTGTCTTCCACAATGGTTGAACTAATTTACACTCCCACCAACAGTGTAAAAGCGCTATTTCTCCACATCCTCTCCAGCACCTGTTATTTCCTGACTTTTTAACGATCACTATTCTAATTGGTGTGAGATGGTATCTCATTGTGGTTTTGATTTGCATTTCTCTGATGGCCAGTGATGATGAGCATTTTTTCATGTGTCTGTTGGCTGCATTAATGTCTTCTTTTGAGAAGTGTCTGTTCATATCCTTTGCCCACTTTTTGATGGGGTTGTTTTTTTCTTGTAAATTTATTTAAGTTCTTTGTAGAGTCTGGATATTAGTCAGATGAGTAGATTGCAAAAATTTTCTCCCATTCTGTAGGTTGCTTGTTCACTCTGATGGTAGTTTCTTTTTCTGTGTAGAAACTCTTTAGTTTAATTAGATCTCATTTGTCTATTTTGGCTTTTGTTGCCGTTACTTTTGGTGTTTTAGTCATGAAGTCCTTGCCCATGCCTATGTCCTGAATGGTATTGGCTAGGTTTTCTTCTAGGGTTTTTATGGTTTTAGGTCTAACATTTAAGTCTTTAATCCATCTCAAATTAATGTGATTTTATTTTTTTAATGGCTGCATAACAGTCCATGGTGTATATGTACTATATTTTCTTTATCCAGTTGGTTCTGTGTCTTTGCTGAGTTGGTTCTATGTCTTTGCTGTTGTGAATAGTGCAGTGATGAACATATGAGTACATGTGTAGTTTTGGTAGAATGGTTTATTTTCCTTTGGGTATATATATATCCAGTAATGGGATTGCTGGGTAAAATGATAGTTCTAAGTTCTTTGAGAAATTTCCAAACTGCTTTCCACAGAGGCTGAACTAATTTACATTCCTATCAACAGTGTATAAGTATCACCTTTTCTCTATAGCCTAACCAGCATTTGATATTTTTAAAACTTTTTAATAGTAGCCATTCTCACTGATGTGAGATGGTGTCTCATACTATAAGGCTACAGTAACCAAAACCCATGGTACTGGTACAAAAATAGACACATTGACCAATGGAACAAAATAGAGAACTCAGAAATAAAGAACAATGGGGAAAGGACAGACTATTTAATCAATGGTGCTGGAAAACTGGGTAACAATATGCAGAAGAATCAACCTTAATCCCTACCCTCTTACCACATACAAAAATTAACTTAAGGTGGAGTAAAGACTTAAGTGTAAGACCTCAAACTATAACAATCCTACAAGAAAACCTACAAAATATTCTTCTGGCTTTTGGCCTTGGTGAAGAATTTATGACTAAGACCTCAAAAGCAAATGCAGCACACCCCAAAATTGACAACTGGGACCTAATTAAACAAAAGAGCTTCTGCACAGCCAAATAAACTATCAACAAGGTAAATAACCTACAGAATGGGAGAAATATTTGTGAGCTATGTATCTGATAAACGACTAATATCCAGAGTCTATAAGGAATTTTAAAAAATCATGAAGCAAAAACCAAATAACTCCATTAGAAAGTTGGAAAAGGACATGAACAGACCGTTCTCAAAAGAAGACATAAATTGTCAGAAAACATGAAAAAATGCTCAACATCACTATTCATTAGAGAAACGCAAATCAAAACCACAATGAGATATTATCTCAAACTAGTCAAAATGGCTATTATAAATATATTATATATATTTATATATATTTTTTAGCAAATGTTAGCAAGGTCACAGAGAGAAAGGAATGCTTATACACTATTGGTGGGAATGTAAATTAATTAATTCAGCTCCAGTGGAAACCAGTTTGGAGACTTCTCAAAGAACTAAAGATAGCAATTTACCCAGCAATCCCGTTAGTGGGTACACACTCAAGGGAAAATAAATCATTCTGCCAAAAAGATACATGCGGTCTAATGTTTGTTGCAGCACTATTCACAATAGCAAAGACATGGAATCAATCCCTATGTGCCCATCAACAGTGGATTGGGTAAAGAAAATGTGGTATGTATACACCATGGAATACTATGCAGCCATAAAAGAATGAAATCATGTTCTTTGCAGCAACAAGGATGGAGATGGAGGCCATTATCCTAGGTGAATTAATGAAGAAACAGAAAACCAAATAACACATATTCATGTATAATAGGAGCTAAATATTGGGTACACACGCACATAGACAGAATTAACAGGCACTGGGGACTCTAAATGGAAGGAGGGAGGGGGACAAGGGTTGAAATCTACCTATTGTTTACCATCTTCACTATTTGAGTGATAGGTTCAATAGAAGCTCAAACTTCAGCATCACTCAATATATCCATTTACGAATTTGTACACGTAACCCCTGAATGTAAAAAAGTTGTACATAAATTGTACATAAATGTAAAACAAAATCGTATAACTCCATTGAAAAAAAACTGCTCTGACAATGTTTATCAGATAAAAAAGCAATCATTTGTGACCATAAAAGGGTTAACCCAGCAAGAAGATACAATTTATCTTTGTATACATCTAATAACATGGCTCTGAAATATATAAAGCAAAAACTAACAAAACTGTAAGGAGACATAGATAAATCTATCATCTTAAATCTTCCATTTTAGTGGAGGATATTTAAAGATACCTCTACAATCTAAATGTACATAATCAGTACAATAGAAAAATACATAATGTTATGCAATGGACTACTATATAACAGTGAAAGTGAATAAACTATATATGCACAAAGTGGATGAATCTCACAAACAATGTTAAATAAGTCAAAAGAAAAAAAATGTATGATTCTAGCTACATAAAGTTTAAAAGCAGGCAAAGCTAGGGCATTCAGCAATAAACGTTTACATAGTAAAACTATAGAAAATAAAGCAACGTTGCAATTTCTATTTTTCTTTGTTGCTCCATAATGTAATTTTGTCAGGACCTGTTTGTTTGGTTCTCAAAACCTATTTACCCCTTTCTCTACTGTTCCTCCAAATGCTAAAGCACCATTGGAGAACCAAAAATTATAAAAGAATCCCTGAAAAATGAAAGCAGGAGAAAATTTCCTGAGAAGAAACTTTAGCCAAAATGTATCTGTAAGAGGATTTCTGCAAGGTGGTAGCCTTGGGAAACAGGACGGACTGCCTAAAATGTGGTTGGTGCAGTGGTTTGTGCTCTAATAGAAGCAGTGACGGGATACAGACATTCTTTCTGTTCCTGCTAGTGCAAAGCAGTGAGCAACAGAGGCATCTGTTACAGCTGGAGCAGTGAGTGGCTCAGAATCCTAGAATCAGAACCGTTTCATTAACCCCCACAAAACTATGTCAGCGCCCTCCCCCCAAGAAAACCCCACACTGTTAACCAGCTGATTTTACTAAAAATTTGAGGCACAGTTAGTGTTTCTCTTTTAATAATTAGTTACAAGAATAGAGAAAGAGACAAAGTTTGCTAATCATTTCATGAGGCAATGTGTAACCTCGGTATTCAACCCACAAAGTGGTCAATAAGCGTATGAAAAGCTACATTATCTTGGGAAGAACCAGAGAAATGAGGTACCATTTTACATCTAAGATGGATGCTGTGGTATGCTGTCCACAGCATTCTGGGATTGAACCATTTTCCCCATTGCTCTTCTGGCAATTGTCTTTGGGTGAAGTAGGTCATTCCCCCTTGCTCCAATTTGAGGCTAGTCGATGCACTGGCATAAAGGCCCAAACACATTGCTTAAGTTGGAAACCACTTGCAGGGCCATCCCAGTGACTGTGTTCCCTGTGAGATCTGCTGAAGCCGTTGCTGTGATTGCACTGTAGGCCAGCTTCTCTCTCTACCTAATTCTGCTTCAGTGTTTACAGGAGTGAATGCTGAGAACACTTCCTAATAAATATCTTATATACAAATCTCTATCTCAGACTGCTTCTCAGCTATAACAAAATACCGTAGACTGGATAGATTAACCTGTTAATCTGTTATTATTCACAGTTCACAGTTCTGGAGACTGTGAAGTCCAAAGTCAAGATACTGGCAGATTTGGTGTCTCAGGAAGGCTCACTTCCTGGCTTGTAGGCAGTCACCTTCTTACTATGTCCTCCTAGGGCTTTTCTTTGGTGCAAGCTTGAGAGAGAGAGAGATAGAGAGAGAGAGAGAGAGAGAGAGAGAGATCAGTTTCCTTCTTATAAGGGCGCTAATACCATCAAATCACCAGGATCCTACCATCATGATCTAATAGAAACAAAATTACTTCCCAAAGGCCTCACTTTCAAATTCCATCACATTGGGGGTTAGAGCTTCAACGTGTGATTTTTTGAAGGGACACATTCAGCTCATAACAGGTAGTAAAAAATATAATATAAAATTGGAGTTTGGAGCTGGATCACCCACCAGCTGGCTGGAAATGAGGACTCCATCACTGGTGGTAAGTGGAGTTTGAGCAGCCCTTAGTGCTATAATTATTAACACTTTATCCGGTGGTAAATAGGGATGACATACTAGTAGAAAAGAAGGCACTGGCAGATTAAATGTATTAAGTATTTGAGACATAAAAGGGAAATAGTAATTATAAGGGCAATGGAATTGGATGTCTGTTGTAGAAACAGTAGAGGGTTTTGAGAAAGACTTTGAAAGGCTGAAGTTGATTAATTACCAACTAAAAGTTAAATTTGAGAGCCACAGTCCCTCCTTATAGCATTTGGAGTCTAGCATCTCCTGTAGCCTGTAACGTAAAAGGCTAGGAATCAGGCTTAAGACTTGATTATGAGAGAAGTAGACATTATGTTAGAATTTTAAGCCACTGCAGCTTGACTACTAAGTTCAAGATCTTAATTAGGAAAGAATGAGACACTGAGTCATGGAATAGGGGTATCTGTGTTGATGCATTTAAAAATCTTGAATCACTAGATTCTTCTAAACCCTCTGGATTCTTCCCTGTTAAATGTTTGTGTTCCACCCGTAGATAAAGATAAAACAGAGGATGCTATCTTGCAAAACAACATATGTTCTCCTTAAACTCTGTCCCTACCTTTTCTTAACCACTTGATTATAACTAAGGGTAAATCATAACATAACCTAACAGGGAAAAGGCTGAGTCTGCTATGGGAGCTGTAGGACCTAGTCAACATGTAGAATCAGGAGCTGAAAAGAGTACATGCTGAATCAAAGGGTCAGACATCAAATTGGATAAGAGATAATTTATCAGTGTTGGAGCCCTCTCCCTTACTATAGGATTTAATATCTTGGTAAAGATCACAGCATATGATGCAAAGAAGCTGCTACGATGGCTTTTAGAAACTTGCAGAAATTGGTGACGCACACTAAGTAGAAATGTCAGAACTGCTGTGGAAGACAGTAGAAGGAGGGATAGAAAAGCTTAGAGAAGAGCACTTGCTAGAATAAATACGTGAAAATGAAAAGTCCACCAGATAACTAGGCTCCATATAAGGTCCCAGAGGACATTCTGTTTACTAAACAAAAGGAATATGCTGGTGAGAAGGACACCAATGTCACTGAGAAGCTCAGTGGTGGCTATCCTCTGTAGGATAGGGCTGATTGTAATGATGTCATTACAGAAGTGAACCTTTGATAGAAATGGAGATGATATGGCATCAGAATAAAAGTAAATGATGTTTCTGAGATAAGACAAATGGGTAGACAACAACAACATGCTCAATCTACACAATTAAAAGAAATCAAGGATAGAGATTAGAGGGGGGTGATTATAGCTGCTCAAACAAAAACAGGTGATCTCTTGCCCAGTTTCCACACCTGAACCAGTTTTCAGACTCAGAGCCCTCTGACTGAAGAAGAGGCCAGGACCTATGATCAAGGACCCTGAAAGTGCAGTTATATATATATTTTTGCCTTTGGCCAGTGGAGTTATATATATATAGCCTTTCCTCAAAGAGAACTATGGTCATTACTGGAGTAACTAAATCCTGGGGAAACAGAAATATCCAAACTTATCAAGGCTTATAACATGCGAAATTTGAATTGACATTGACACCTATGACCTAAAGCTTCATCGTGGCCACTTTTAGGGTATAGGAGGGCCAGATAATAAATGGGATCCAGGGCCTATGTATGTCCATGAATGCATGGACCCATCCAGTGCTATTTCTTTGTTCTCAAAAGGTATATGGAATGAACAAAATGGTAGAATAGTAGTAATGGGCAGAATATCCACATTGATTTATTAGCTTTAAGAGCCATCATAGTAGTGAAGCCTGAGTGGAAGCCTCTGAAACTGCCCATTTCCTGGCCAAATTACTAAAAAATAAAAATCTAATCTCAAAGGGAAATGGCAGATATCAATGCCATCTTTAAGAACCTAATGATACTAGGGTGGTGGTATCATTAGGTTCTTAAAGGTTTCGTTTAATTCACCAGTGTAGTTCCTACAAAAACCGGAAAGATCCTACAAATTC
Source organism: Homo sapiens (assembly GCF_000001405.40). Classification (NCBI taxonomy): domain Eukaryota; kingdom Metazoa; phylum Chordata; class Mammalia; order Primates; family Hominidae; genus Homo; species Homo sapiens. Next base: position 68,243 of record NW_011332695.1, on the reverse strand, counting down.
AACAAAGCATTAACCCCAAATGCAGCTGCTGTGCTACATGTGTGGTATCTTTGCTTAGAGATTATTACAGCCTCAAATACGTGGTATGGGGCAATTGATCTGGCAAATACCTTCTTTTCCATTCCTTATCAGAAAGAATGATTGTGGAATAGATTATATATATATATATATATATATATATATATATATATATATATATATATACAGATTTTATATATATATAAACAAACAGATTTTATATATATAAACAGATTATATATATATAAACAGATTTTATATATATATAAAATCTTTCTCAGAATTATGTTAACTTGATCACCCTTTGTCTTAAGATAATATTAGAATAATAGAAAGAGGGTTTATATCTTCTCAACTACCTATGAGGTAAAAAAATGGAGCAAAAGACCCATCCATGATGGAAAAATGGAAAAGGCAATTCGGTAGGTTGGTTTGAACTTGGAAGAGGAAGATTGAAAATAAATTCCTCTCAAAAGATATTACCAGGAAAAATTATAACAGAATAAAGAAAGCATAACAACATAAGAGAGTACAAAATAGATTTCAAGGTAAAAACTGTTAAAAGGGACAAAAAAGGATATTTCATATTAATATTTTATCCCAAGGTACAGTTGACTAAGAAGTGGTGAGGGAGGCTGGGTGCTGGGGCTCACGCCTGTAATCCCAGCACTTTGGGAGGCCGAGGCGGGCGGATCATGAGGCCAGGAGTTTGAGACCAGCCTGGCCAACATGGTGAAACCCTGTCTCTACTAAAAACACAAAAATTAGCTGGGTGTGGTGATGGGCACCTGTAATCCTTGTTACTCGGGAGGCTGAGGCAGGAGAATCGTTTGAAACCGGGAGGTGGAAGTTGCAGTGAGCAGAGATCGCGCCATTGTACTCCGGCCTGAGAGACAGGGCAAGACTCCGTCTCAAAAAAAAAAAAAAAAAGGTTGTGAGGGAGTTATAAATACAGGCTTCAGAACCAGACTACAGCGCTAACATTCAAATCCCAGTCTCAGCATTTTCTGTGTGATTTCAGGTAGATTTTTTTAACTTCTCTGTGTTCATTTTACTTTGAGGACCAGAGAGTCTTTTTGATATACTTTAAGCAAACACACATACACATATTATATGTATATAGATATAGATTTAGATATATATGATCTGTCATGGGAAGGCTTGGGCTTCTGAGTGAATTTAGAATGCCATTACAGAAAGTTAACTTATAAAAAAATTCCTGTTTATTTCTTCTGTAGCACTTATAATTGGTCATTATGTTATCATGCATTTGTTTATAGTTTACTATCTGCCTTACCTACTAAAATATAAGCTCCATGAGGGCAGGAACCTTGTCTGCCTAGTTCATTATTTTATCCTGAGTGCCTAGAAGAGAGTTTGAAACACTGTTAATGTTCAATAAATATCTGCCAAATGAATGAATGAATGAATAATTAAAATACTTTGTGGTCCAAGTAAGGTATTACTTCAAGACTTTGGGTTACAATAATAGAAAGTGACAATACATGTTTCAGGATCCTCCCAGTCTTCCCTCTGAAATACTCATGAAAATGGATGCACATATCTCATTAGCTCTGTGAATAGTAAGGTTGGTCAATGATCTTGACTCCAGAATGAATTTCTACTAACCGGCTCATCTAAACATCTAGACAGAACAGACGGGACTCTGCATACAGTGATATTTCATCCATGCATTTGGAAACGATAAGAGCAGTGGATCACAAAGTTACCTGGATATCAAAATCACCTGAGGAGTCTTTATAAATCCCAGTGCACGGGCCATACCCTATACCAATTAAAACAGAATCTTTGGGAAAGGGTTCAGGCAGTATTCTTTTAATTTTTCCATGTTGTTCTGATATTCAGCCAAGATTGAGAACACTGAGGTCGTGATTCTTAAACTTTGGTGTGGATCAGAATCACATGGAGGGTTTACTAAAACACCAGGAATATTCCTTTCAAAAAGGAGTAAAACACAGAGGAGCTCCAGACTATGCACAAGGATATAAGTAGGGAGAGAAGCCAGGCTAGTTTATTCCTGTTTCTATTCCAATACCTCTTCCAAAGGAAGAGGCAGCAGTGATCGAGGTGTCTGTCTCTAAGCAGAAACAGTGCTTTGGGCAGAGTCGAGGTATGGTAGTAAAACCCAGAAGACAGGTGGCTGAGGTACCTTTCCTAGCTGTTCATCTTACCTATTTCCCTGCCTAACGAAACAGGGAGCAGTACCACTGTCTTTGCACCTTTCCCATGTAAGAATCAGTGGGCAGTTCAGCAGAAAATCCCCATTATAAAAATGCACTTATAGTAACCCGCCCCCCAAATCTTTTAGGATTACTAGAATCACAAAATAAGAGAGACAAATTCAAAAGACAACAGCAAAATAAAAACAAAAACCAGAAGTAAAGAAAAGAAAAAAGGCAACAGAACATAAATCCAAGTAAAGAGAGTTTGTAAAGCTATCATGATAAAATTCACATTAAAATAAATATAATCTTTTTAATGATTCAGGAGAAAGTGCTATATAAAAATAAGAAAATATGATTATGAAACGTTAAGAATAAGTTATAAAAACATATTAGAGACTTTGGAAATGTAAGAGTATATCATGGGCTTGTTTCAGAAGCTGAACATATGGGGACATTTTATCTTTTTAATGTCCACATAGTAATCCATAGGATGAAGGTGCCATCATTTTTTCAACAATTCTTTTGTTGATGCACACTAGACACTGCAATTTTTCTGCTGTTTAAGCAATCATGTGATGAACATCTTTTTGTATATGTATTTTTTCAGGTTATTATTACCTCTAGGATTAATTCCTCAAAGTGAAATTTTGGAGTACAGCACTTGAAATTTTAAATAAAATTTGCCAGGATATTTTCCAAAAGTTTTTAGAAAATTCATATATTTTTCATAATGTATAAAAGTACCTTTTCCCCCTGTAATTTGCTAGTACCAGATACATACAATCATTTGAATGTTGGCTTACTGTGATCTAGCCTCAGTGGCTTATTCTTCTCGTAGATTTTGCATTACTCAAATTTAAAGGGAGTAAAACCTCCTTGAAAAGCTTTCCCCCTAAACCTTTACGTGGTTTACTTCCTTATTTCATTCATATATATGATTTATTGTTATCTCCCAACACTAGAATACTAGAATGTAAGTTCTATGAGTTCAGTGATTTTTTTTCTGATTTGTTTATCACTACATCCCAAGGAAGCTTGGGATATAGTAGTATTCAGTGCATATTTTGGAATGAATGAATAAATGAATTCATTTGACAAATACCCTGGGACCTCTGGAGAGAGTGATCATTTGTTATCATGTGTATTAGTTTCCTGTGGCTATTGTAACAAATTACTATGAATTTGGAAGCTTAAAATAACAGAAACTTATTATTTCACAGTTCTGGAGGCCAGAAGTCTAAAATAAGTATCACTGGGCAAAAATCAAGGTGGCAACAGAGCCATACTCCCTCTGGAGGCTCCAAGGTGGAATCCATTTCCTGTGTCTTCCAGCTTCTGCTGGCTTCTGGCATTCCTTTGCTGTGGCCAAACCACTCCAATCTCTTTCTCTTTGGTCACATTGCCTTCTCCTTCTCTGTTTGTGTCACATTCTCCCTCTGTCTCTCTCTTATAATGATACTTGTGATTGCTTTTAGGGCCCACCCAGACAATCTAGGATAATCACTCCATTACTCCATTTTAAGATTCTTAATCACATATGCAAAGACCATTTTTAAAGTAAGGTAACATTTATAGATTCCATGGATTGGGGCCTGATATCTTTGGGGGCCATTATTCAGTCTGCTACAGTCTTCTCTCTGGCCCCCAATGATTTATGTTCATTCCACAGGTAAAATGTGTTCATCCCACCTCCAAATCCTCAAAAGCCTCAACCCAATACAGCATCAACTAAAGCCCAAAATATCATCTAAATATCATCAGCTTGAAAGTCCCAAATCTCATTATCTAAATTACCTAAATCAGATATAGGTAGGATACTGTGTATGATCCATCCTGGGGCAAAATTTCTCTCCATCTGTGGACCTGTGAAACAAGAAGACAAGATATCTGTTCCCCAAATATAATGATACAGGCATCATGATGTAACAGTAATAGACATTTACATTCTAAAAGGGGGGAAGTGGAAGGAGGGAAAAGGTCATCAGACCCAAGCAATTCTGAAGTTCATCAGGGCAAACACGGCATTTCAAGGCCTATGAATAACACTTAGTGACTCAATGCTCCATGCTCTAGGTCTGAGACTAATATTTTCTGTGTGCACTGCTCCAACCTCTGCACCATGGCTCTAAATCCTAGACCCAAGGCTCCAGCTTTTGGGCCAAAGGGTTTGTTCTTGAAGTTATCCTTTCTTTTTCTTGATAGGTAGCACATATTTGTAGCTGATTAGTTTTATCAGCCTTTTCCTGCTTGTAGAATTTTATGAGTCTTACAGCCTTCTTTCATTTTGTTCTGTCTCTGTCCCTTTAGCACAAGCTGGTGGTGTTTCTGAAACTATATCATTTTTGAAAACCTGGTTCTCCCATGTATGTTATGACTATTCACATCATTAGACAAGAGGGTCCTTCACCTTTAAGTAATTTGTTCTCACATTTTAATACGTTGGGTAAACAACAACAATAGGCTGTACCTTCAAAACTTTGTAAATCTGCTTATCTAAACATCCAAGTTCATCACTTACAAGTTCTGCTTTCCATGTAACTGTAGGTCAAAATTAAGCTAGACTTTCTGTCACTATCTAACAAGGATAACTTTTTCTCCAGTTTCAAAACAGCATGTTCCTTGTTTCTGTTTGAGCCCTCACCCAGCAAAGTGAACTAAAACACATGACCCAGCTCTATGCTGTCTACAAGAAAGTCACTTCAAATATAATAATAGAGGCAAATTGAAAGTAAAATAATGGGTCAGGTGTGATGGCTCACACTTGTAATCCCAGCACTTTGGGAGGCTGTGGTGGGTGGATCACGAGGCCAGGAGTTTGAGACCAGCCTGGCCAATGTGGTGATACCCCATCTCTACTAAAAATACAAAAATTAGCTGGGCGTGGTGGCAGGCGCCTGTAATCCCAGCTACTCGGGAGGCTGAGGCAAAAGAATCTCTTGAACTCGAGAGGTGGAGTTTGCAGTGAGCCGAGATTGTGCCACTGCACTCCAGCCTGGGTGACAGAGCAAGACTCCATCTCAAAAAAACCAAAACAAAATCCAAAAAAGAAAGTAAAATAATGAAAAAGACATAGCATGTAAATATTAATCAAAAGAAAAGCAGTGGCTATATTAATATTGAATAACGTAGACTTCAGAGCAAAGAAAATTACTAGAGGCAGAAAGGGATATTACATAATAATAAAATACTTGAAATTATAAAAATGTAGAAACAGAGAACATATTAGAGGATTCCTGAAGTTAAGGAAGGGATGGGGATGGGACAGAAGTTGTTGTGGCTATGAAAGAGTAATGTGAGGGGTTATTGTGCTCATGGAAATGTTCTGTATCTTGACTGTATCACTGCCAGTATCCTCATTGTGATATTACACTACAGTTTTTCAAAATGCGTTCATTGGAAGAAATTGGGTAGAGGGCATATGAGATCTCTCTGTATTAATTTCATTTCTTAAAACTGCATGTAAATCTACAATAATCTCAAAGTAAAAAGTTTAATTAAAAAATAAAGGTAGTATCATCTAGAAACATACAGAAAACATAAGCATTTATTTTTTCCCAGAAGAATTTTTATTTTGAAGAGAAATTACTCTGGTACACTGTACTCTTGCTTATTCCTATAAATCTCAATATAGTTACAGGGGATTTAGCAGTTCATCAAAAAGTTTTATTAAAAAATTCTAATGCATACTAAAAATAAATAAATTTACAGATGTTTTTAGACTTTTTTTTTTCAGTTGAGGTCTTGCTTAGTTGCCCAGGCTGGAGTACAGTGGTGCAATTCTAGCTCACTGCAGCCTCAAACTCCTGACTTCAATCAATCTTCCCATTTCTGCCTCCTGAGTAGTTGAGACTACAGGCATGAGCCATGACACCTGGCTAATTTTACTTTTATTTATTTATATATATATATTTTTTTGTAGAGATGGGGTCTTGTTATGTTGCCCAAGCTTGTTTGAACTCTTGGCCTCAAACAATTCTCCCACCTTGGCCTTCCAAAGTGCTGGGATTACAAGTGTGAGCCACCATGCCCAGCAGCAACACATATTATTATGAGCATATGTACCTGTAATTTCCATTGTCTTGATGAATTTTCAGTGAAATTTTTATAAACAAGTAGTGTACTCAAGAGGCTATATCCCAAAGGACCCCAAATCTCATAAATATCACCTTCCTATACAGTGACAGTTCTTTGCAATTTGTTATTATTGCTGATGTACATTCATCTGCAGGTAATAATTTCCCTTTTCTATTGATACAGGAATGTTTGTTTCTCATTTTTGTATTAGAAGTTAAGGTATAGTTTTTTAAAGGAAATAATCATTTGTTGAACATTCACTTATTTCTATGATCCATACTTGGTATTATCATGTACATCATCTTATTCAACACAAGAATCATGTGAAGTATTTTTTTAAACAAATAACGTAATGAAGAGTTGAACAGTTTATGTAAAATTTCCAAGATTCCATAGATTGCTGGTGACAAAGCTGAATCTAATCCCAGGGCCGTATGTCTCCAAAGCTCATGGCATTTCTGTCCAACACATTGCTTCCATGCCATAATAGCATGTATAACTGACTCTGAATTTCTATTATACACATCTATCTTTTCTAAAATTTTAAGCATTCATTCATTCTTGGGTCCATGCCACTTAATAAAGCCCTGTACAAAGATAAGGAAGATAGGACTTTAGAGTTCAAACATGTAATTGCATGGTGTTCTTAACATAGCATGATATTGATCAGTTAATTCAGACGTGAAATTATTCAAGCATCTCAGTTCAGAATAAAAGTGTGAAAATAATGTGGCTGGATGAGCACATGACTTTGATGCCAGTGTGTTTGTGCGTATGCATGTGGTGTGTGTGTGAGAGAGAGAAAGAGACAGCAGTGCATGTGTGCAAGAGTGTTCAGTCTGCTTGAGAGCAAATTCTTTAAAGAAAAATACATTATTCCTTAATTTTGGTTGATCTTTAAAAAGAGAATTATGGGAATTTTTGTGGTTGCTATTGTTGAGGAGCAATAAAGAATGGAAGTTTCCAAGAGTAAATAAACCTTATATTAAATGATGTAGGAAAACATTGAATTATCTTAATTTTCTTCCATAGAAGAAGATATCATTGATAAAAATGGAATTAAATTGTTGACATGTGAAATAAAAATTCCCTCTTTTGTCTTATCAGCTATAGCACCTCTTTTGGCTCCCTCTGTATGGTCTGCCTTTCATAGTCCTCTGCCTTTCATTCATTCCTCTCTACTTTTTTAAAAAAACACTTTTGCTTCTCTTTTTTCTTAATTCTAATAGAGGCATCAATTGGATACTTAAGATACATAGAAGCAAAGAGCAAAGTGTTTGCAGACTCCAGAGTGAAAGCAATCTATTGAGAAAGTTAACGCATTATCTTCATATGGATGTGTAGAGTATAGACTATAGTGGATTAATTTACTATGCTGAATCCTAGAATATCATTTTAAAATGTCACAGCATCACATTAGCTCAGGTAGACCTGTAATTCCTGAATCTCTTTCATAGTGCTGTCACCAATTTGCAGCCCATTCCAACTGGGCACAATTGTGACTGCTTGATGGTTCTCCCATGTATTGAGCAGTTATTTTGTGTATCCTCAGACTTCTAAAAAGCACTGGAGTAGTAAAAAAAAAAATAAGATAAAAGTTAATTTCCTTCAGGAGCCATTTCTTGCCCAAGATAAATTGCTTATGTTCCTTCATTCACTTTAAAACTCTGTATCTTCTGTTTCTCTTTACTCATATTCCCAACCAATCAACATGGAATTTCTGTATCAGCAACCCTATTTTTGTAGCAGCCACTGCAACATTCTTCCCCATTTTGCTGATGCCCTTTGGTGCATATTGGTCTTTCTATGCTGTAATCCCAACTTCTATTACCCAAAAAGGTTGCTTTTTCATAAAGTCATGAGACCCTACAAATACAGACACAAATATATATTTTCAAATATTTTTTCATATTTATGATGAAGCATACATTTTATTTTTATGGTAATTTTTCTCTCCTTCATAAAAATCAACTTCTCATTTTGGAAATTTTCTTTCTTATATCTCCACGTTCAGTTTAAACATTTTGTATAATATCTGTTCATCTTCATTCTTCCCTGTCCTAGTAAGATGTTCTCTATTTCTAGCCAATTTTTTGAAACCCTATATGAAATAACAGCATAGGTAGAGATGAAAGTCTTGACAGACCATATGTAATATTCCAGATGCATACTCCATAAAGGTAACCATGACTAGCAATGGCAGTTTTGAATCTACGTGAAGTCACCACTGCAGTAATCTCAGAAATGACTATCACCAGAATCCAGTTTTTTTGTTTTTTTAACTCCAGGATTTTTGACCCTTTGATTTTACCTACTAGTGTTTCTCATTGGTTTTAAATTCTTCAATAGGGATGACTTTTCCTTGGGTGAGATACTGGGATTGCCTCAAAACTGTTAAGTCACTCCAGGTCAGCTGAGTTGTTTACCTATTACCCCTTCCTCACAATCTTCACAACTTTGGGATTAGCTTTCACCCTCCCTTCTGCTATTCAGCAATTAAATTGTAGCAACTAATGTATGTTAGACAATTGTGTGTATTATCTTCTGTACTCTCTCTCTCAGAATGCCATCTCTATTCAGCTGGAGCTAAGAAAGGTTATTTTCAAGTATCCAAGCCTTCTCTTGAATCAAGAGGTCCCATATCCATCTCTTTTTAACTCTTGAAGCCTTTTTCCTGTGCCCTTCTGCAGTCACAGTTATCAACAAAATTTCTTATGTCCTCAGTATTGGTTTTGAACATTCCATTTCCCTTACTGTCCTTTTCAACAGACACTTGGCTGTCCCTGAGGACAATGTTTTCTCTGCAGCCTTCTCAAATGATGAACTTTTTTTTCTCTTACCACTTTTACCCCGAACCTGGTGATGGATAGGATCTTCCATTTCCCTTGTTGCTGCTTGTGGACATTCTCTCTCCTTCCTACCTACAAATACCCATAGTTGAGTTTTATGTCATCAGACTATACTAACCAATCTTACCTTTCTCTCCTCATGCATTTGCAGTCATCAACTGGCTAGCATCATGTCTCCGCATCTTTGGAAGATTTTTGGCTCTGGCTCACTCATTTTCTTACATTATTTCTGTCACTATTCCTGGTGGCTTTAATACCTCCACATAGAGGTTGCTTTCAACATTTTGGCTTCTTAGTTTCTTGACATATCTTCAAAAAAAATTTGTTTTCCTCCCTAAAACCTGTCTCTCCCGTTGTTAGAGTTTAGACATTAGCATTTGCCAATAACTGTAGCTTTTCCGTAATCTCATTTTTAAGCACCCCAAACTGTAACTACCATCATTTCTTGTTTTTCCTGCTTGTTTTCACTGGTAGAATAATTATAGCAAATTTTCAATCCTTGCAGAAAGGCTATAACCATTTTGTTGATTTTACCCATCTCAGGTACTCACTTCATCTTTGCCTAGCTTAAATGTAGTGGTTATTTTACTCTCTACCTTGCATATACCCTAACATTCCATATCTGTCCCTTTCGTTGCTCAGAAAAAAGAAAATCTTAGTGAAATTTGACCCCTCATCTATCAGGCACTCACAACTGTTCAGCTGAAAACAAAAGCATATCAATTCCCTAGGTGCTGGGCACTGAAGGAGACTATCACCTGCCTCAAAGAATTGTCGTTATCTCTCAGCCGCATCTTTATGTGAATTACTGCACTGCAAAATTCCCCTTTCAAGAGTAAATGTATTATTTATATGTTAGCATAATTTTAAAACCTTTTTAAATATGTAATGAACCAAATATACTTTCTGATAGTCTATAGTCTTCTTTAGAAATCATAGAAAAGATGTATAATATGTGAAATAAAGATAGTAAATGAATTAGAAGTCCAAGAATATGGTTCTTCATTTTAGCTCAGTTTCCAGAAAGCCATTTGATCTAAAGTTATGTTGGACAATGGTGTTTATTATCTATCTTTTTTAGATCTCCGTTTATAATTTTATAAAGTGAGAGAATCGAGTGGATTATTTCTAGGACCTTTTGAAGCTGTGAGAAAGCTCTCCTGCTTTTCTTGCATTTTCTTGATTTTTCTCAAGCGAGTTGGTATGGAGGAGGGCCTTCCAGAAGGTGACCTACAGATGCAATTTTTTTCAGACAGCAACTATTCAGATAGGGCTGGATATTTGTGTTCTATAGAAGGCTGGAATCTTCTGTTAGCAACCTAGCCCCAGCTTATGCAGAGTCTTGGGTATAAGTTGTATCTTTGGAGCCTTCCAGGAGTAACCTGATCATGTCTTCTCTAGATTGGCTCACTATCATGAATCAGATAGCTTGATCCTGAGATAATTAGGAGATATCTCATCTCCTCTTTCAAACCTCAGTCTTCCTCTGTTTACTTGTTTATAGTGTGAGTGCATTACTTCACCTTCTGCCTCGGTCCAGACTTCCTGGATATTTGGTGTACTTTTCCTCAATTGTGAAATCTCTGGGTGGGGACCACAGCTCAGTGTTGAGTTACTGACCTCTTCTTGGTCCTGTGGATTAGCATGCAGCTAATCTGTTTGACCTCTGTTTGGAATTCGGAATTCTTAATGACTACACATCTTTGATACAATAGATGATACCTCAAACATCCTTTTGAACAGCTGTTCTTTTCCATGAGTCTTGGTCTATTCTGACATTTATGTCTCCCTTCAATCACGTCTTTGGCCTTAGAAGATTGAGTTACTGGATTCTTTATATATTCTAGTGGTCATCTCTGAAATGTGCTCAGAGAGCACCTAAATTAACCATCCAATACGAGTTGAGTGTGTTAAGTTAAAAAAAAAAAGATTTTTCTGAGTATTCCTGACCTTACATCAGTGAACATTTATGTTTTAAAGTCTTACATAAGATACTGTGTGTGAAAGCATTTTCTTCCCAAATTTACATGAGTGCCTAAATTGTTATACTTTTTGGTTAAATAGATATTGGAAAAATAAGTGTGCAATTATAGCATTTAATCCCATTATAATATTCATTTGTTTTTCTTTCAGTTGGCACCATTCCCAATTTAGATGGGGACTGGAAATGACACCACTGTGGTAGAGTTTACTCTTTTGGGATTATCCGAGGATACTACAGTTTGTGCTATTTTATTTCTTGTGTTTCTAGGAATTTATGTTGTCACCTTAATGGGTAATATCAGCATAATTGTATTGATCAGAAGAAGTCATCATCTTCATACACCCATGTACATTTTCCTCTGCCATTTGGCCTTTGTAGACATTGGGTACTCCTCATCAGTCACACCTGTCATGCTCATGAGCTTCCTAAGGAAAGAAACCTCTCTCCCTGTTGCTGGTTGTGTGGCCCAGCTCTGTTCTGTGGTGACGTTTGGTACGGCCGAGTGCTTCCTGCTGGCTGCCATGGCCTATGATCGCTATGTGGCCATCTGCTCACCCCTGCTCTACTCTACCTGCATGTCCCCTGGAGTCTGCATCATCTTAGTGGGCATGTCCTACCTGGGTGGATGTGTGAATGCTTGGACATTCATTGGCTGCTTATTAAGACTGTCCTTCTGTGGGCCAAATAAAGTCAATCACTTTTTCTGTGACTATTCACCACTTTTGAAGCTTGCTTGTTCCCATGATTTTACTTTTGAAATAATTCCAGCTATCTCTTCTGGATCTATCATTGTGGCCACTGTGTGTGTCATAGCCATATCCTACATCTATATCCTCATCACCATCCTGAAGATGCACTCCACCAAGGGCCGCCACAAGGCCTTCTCCACCTGCACCTCCCACCTCACTGCAGTCACTCTGTTCTATGGGACCATTACCTTCATTTATGTGATGCCCAAGTCCAGCTACTCAACTGACCAGAACAAGGTGGTGTCTGTGTTCTACACCGTGGTGATTCCCATGTTGAACCCCCTGATCTACAGCCTCAGGAACAAGGAGATTAAGGGGGCTCTGAAGAGAGAGCTTAGAATAAAAATATTTTCTTGATGAAACTAGTTAGTTTGAAGAATCTGATATATTAATATTCTATATATAATAATAATAAGACACCGAGTGTTTGTGGTCAAAATTTATCTGTCCATAGACCATTACCCAGTGTGGAGCTTTTTAGTCAATCAGGAGGGAAGATTTTCAGATAGAATAGGAAATTAGAAGTCCATCTTGCTTTACCTTTAATAAAATTTAATTAAATTTATAATTGAGAATGCAAATAGTTTCACATGAAAAAAATGCTTTATCTGCTGAAAATCCTTTAAAAATTTTATTCTTATTTTTTCAAGAGTTGTTTTCTGCCATAAGTTAAGGCATACCTTTAAACCTTCAGACTGTGGCCATTGTCAACATCAGCTTATCCTGAGATACATGCCTGATATCTATAGTTGTTACTGAGTACATTGTGAGAGAAAATGACAAAGGAACCATAGTAAAATTGCTGGAGATATTCTTCTTCCAGAAAGGTTGCCTGCTGACAATGAGCTTGGGAGACCCACAACAATCTGGGCTGTGTTTCTATTCTCTGTCTCCAGCATGGTTATAGGGTCCCAGAGAAGAACCTGTTAGAGGCCCCTGACTAACCTATGAATTTCTCTGTCAGGTCAAAACCGGTGACTTCTGTGGGAATGAGCAGGGTTTCTGAACTCCTTAGAGACTGAGTGGAAAAAAAAATCAGGCAATAACTTCCAAGAGGAGAATCCAGCTTATAGTGTGACATTGTGGCTGTGAGGAACAACCTTTTGGAGTGACTCATTCATGGTCAGAGCCTCATCTTACTTAGGAAACTCAAGGGGACTAGACTGCCTCTCCTCTGAAAGTATGTCTGCCCCTGGAGAGGCTTAATCAACCTCTGCATGCTGACCACTACCAGATTTATTTCTCTTTCCTGTCCCCTCTTTAGTGTTTCAGACAACAATCCCAACATTCTGTCAATAGAATCATAGGGTATCAATCACTTCATTCATTTATTTTTTATTTTGTACATTCAAAAACTATATTTGAGGCCGGGCACGGTGGCTCATGCCTGTAATCCCAGAACTTTGGGAGGCCAAGGCAGTGGGATCACTTGAGGTTGGGAGTTCAAGACCAGCCTGACCAACATGGAGAAACCCTGTCTCTACAAATAATACAAAAAAAATTAGCCGGGCATGGTGATGGGCGCCTGTAATCCCAGCTACTCAGGAGGCTGAGGCACAAGAATCGCTTGAACCCAGGAGGCAGAGGTTGCAGTGAGCCGAGATGGCGCCATTGCACTGCAGCCTGGGCAACAAAAGCAAAACTCCTTCTCAAGAAAAATAATAATAATAAATAAATAAAGCTATATTTGGTGATTGTTATTTTATTTTATATATATTTTTTGAGATGGAGTCACGTTCTGTCACCCAGGCTGGAGTGCAGTGGCGCGATCTCGGCTCACTGCAAGCTCTGCCTCCTGGGTTCATGCCATTCTCCTGCCTCAGCCTCCAGAGTAGCTGGGACTACAGGCCAACCCGCCACCACATCCGGCTAATTTTTTGTATTTTTAGTAGAGATGGGGTATCATCTTGTTAGCCAGGATGGTCTCGATCTCCTGACCTCATGATCCGCCCACCTCAGCCTTCCAAAGTGCTGGGATTACAGGCATGAGCCACTGCCGCCGGCCTATTTGGTGATCCTTGTAGGCACTGCCCTAGACGAGGATATAAGTGACTAATAGCCACAGATGTCTGTCGTGATGGAATTTGTCTTCTAACATAGGAGTCAGACAATAAAACTAACAAGTAAGTGATACCTACTATTAGAAGGGAATGAGTGCTATGGAGAAAGAAAAAGTGGAAGAGTACGTGGAAGGTTGATGTGCCAGGGGCAGGGAGGAGTCACTGCAGGTCTCACTGGGAACATAACATCTGAACAACTGCTGCCAAAGGTGAGGACAGTTCATGTTGAATATGGTGTTACCTGTGTAACAGCTCCAGGAGTCTAATCTTCACTCACACGCATGTAATTTACTTTTGAGGTTTCTGTTCCAACAGCGGCAGAATTGGTCATTTTAATCAGTGCCATGGTGAGTACAATTAAAACATGATAAAATGTTAAATATATCTTAAATTTCACGTTAGAACTTATAGGATAATAAGGGATTGTCTTATCAGAAAGTGTGATAACCTAGAGAAGTAGGCCCAATACTCAAAAATGCTTTTGCCGAGAGAGAATTTGACAAGTCAGAAGATTGTTATTATCCTGAGCTGTAGCTTTAGTGTTCTTTTGGGATGAGAGGGCCACAAATCAAAGCCTATGGCATATCCAGGTGAGAAGTCTGATTTATACACCTCACATATATCCTCAGGATAAGGGAAAACCTGAAGTAACCAAGACTGGCACAGGTTAGCAGCCCTGGAGAGCTTGAGAAGCTCAGTGCTTGAATTTGAATATAACATGGTCAGGGACAGGTGGTCTGAGTCAGGGTGAACGGAATAAGCAAACAACAAACCCATACCTCAGTGAGTCCTACTGGTAATTATTCAAAATCAATAACCAACACACAGTGAAAAATAATGACCAACACAAAAGGAAACAAGGTACCAAGCATGAAAGCCAGTGGAAGCGACAGGCAACAGAAACAAAACTAAGAGTTAACATATGGAAATGAATAATTACAGACTATAATATTGCTTTGTTTCAAAATAAAAAGACTATTTGAAATGTGTACAATCACAGAAAACCAAAAATAATGACTAAATGTATGCAATTATTTAGAACATCATACTTGAAAAATTCACCACGCCAGTAGAGTTACACCAGGCATTTCTATTTGGTGAGCATAACCCTCATTGGTCTTCACATAGAAATCCCAAGCAGCAGCACAGGCAGAGGAGCCAGCCTACTTAGAAGCCTCATGACCTTAACTGGAATCAATATAGTCTACATAGTGTTTAGTATAGTGTTTAGTTCCAGGGTCCCTGCAAGGTTTTTACAGCAATAAGAATCACTGCACTCAAGGAAATATAAAGTATAAAATAGAATATACTGGCCCCCTGTATGGATAGAATTTACAATTAATCATTTTTGTCATAAACATTTTAGTGTTATATGTAACACACCTGACATTTAAGTTTTGTCTGAATTTAGGAGAAATAGGAAGTTCACTCATGGTAAAATTTATCCTTAAAGAAGTCAAAGGACATGGCACTGGGGGTCTTAAATGCAATACACTATTTACATAGAATTCTGAACAAATGCACTGTTTAGAATTCCATACTGAATCATAGGCAGGACTTAAGGGCCATGAATAATGTTATTTGGGAAATAGGCCCCTTCCTCTGTGTGTCAAGTATGGGGCTCTGAGAGAAATTTGTTTAGAAGACAACCTAGGCAATACCATTCAGGACATAGGCATGGGCAAAGACTTGATTGCTAAAACACCAAAAGCAACAGCAACAAAAGCCAAATATGACAAATGGGATCTAATTAAACTAAAGAGTTTCTGCATAGCAAAAGAAACTATCATCAGAGTGAAGAGGCAACCTACAGAATGGGAGAAAACTTTTGCAATCTATCCATCTGACAAAGGACTAATATCCAGAATTTACAAAGAACTTAAACAAATTTACAAGAAACAACCCCATCAAAAAGTGGGTGAAGGATATGAACAGACACTTCTCAAAAGAAGATATTTATGCAGCCAACAAAAGTAGGAAAAAAAACTCATCATCACTGGTCGTTAGAGAAATGCAAATCAAACCACAATGAGATACCATCTCATGCCAGTTAGAATGGTGATCATTAAAAAGTCAGGAAGGCTGGGTGCAGTGGCTCACACCTGTAATCCCAGCACTTTGGTAGGCTGAGGTGGGCAGATCACGAGGTCAGGAGATTGAGACCATCCTGGCTAACATGGTGAAACCCCGTCTCTACTAAAAATATAAGAAATTAGCCGGGCGTGGTTGCGGGCACCTGTAGTCCCAGCTACTCGGGAGGCTGAGGGAGGAGAATGCCGTGAACCTGGGAGGCAGAGCTCGCAGTGAGCCGAGATCGCACCACTGCACTGCAGCCTGGTGGACAGAGCAAAACTCCATCTCAAAAAAAAAAAAAAAAAAAAAAGTCAGGAAACAACAGATGCTGGAGAGGATGTGGAGAAATAGGAACACTTTTACACTGCTGGTGGGAGTATAAATTAGTTCAACTATTGTGGAAGACAGTGTGGTGATTCCTCAAGGATCTAGAAGTAGAAATACCATTTGACCCAGCAATCCCATTACTGAGTATATACCCAAAGGACTATAAATCGTGCTGCTATAAAGACACATGCACATGTATGTTTATTGCGGCACTATTCACAATAGCAAAGACACGGAACCAACCCAAATGTCCATCAATGATAGACTGGATTAAGAAAATGTGGCACATATACACCATGGAATACTATGCAGCCATAAAAAAGGATGAGTTCATGTCCTTTGCAGAGACATGGATGAGGCTGGAAACCATCATTCTCAGCAAACTAACACAAGAACAGAAAACCAAACACCACATGTTCTCACTCATAAGTGGGAGTTGAACAATGAGAACACATGGACACAGGGAAGAGAACATCACACACCAGGGCCTGTCAGGGGATGGGGGACCAGGGAAGGGATAGCATCAGGAGAAACACCTAATGTAGATGACAGGTTGATGGGTGCAGCAAACCACTATGGCACATGTGTACCTATGTAACAAAACTGCATGTTCTGCACATGTACCCCAGAACTTAAAGTATAAAAAAGAATAGAATAAAAATATTATTTTTTCTTGAAAAAAAACATGACAGCCACTGATTCAAAAAAGACTTTGATAATTTTTATCATCAATTTGTGTTTAAAAAGCCTTAGCAAAATTGAAATAGTGTAATTACTTCATCTGGGAAAAACTACTCATGTTTTGAAAGCTTTTCCTTCATGTCTGAGAATGAGAAAGAGATGCCATTGTTAGCATTTCTATTCTTCGTGGTATGGATGACACTAGCCAGGGCACTATAACAAGAAAAGGAAATAGAAGGCATAACAATAGAAAAAAAGAAATAAAGTATCATACAAGATGACCGTTTATGTAGAAAATAATAAAATAAAAATAAATTATCAATACTAGAGATTTTTTAACAATATTGATGGAAAAACAAAATAAAAGCAAAAGTTTTATTTCCTTTTAAAATTTTTAAATTTTTATGGGTACACAGTAGGTGTATATATTTATGGGGTATAGGAGATGTTTTGATACAGGCATGCAATGTGTAATAATTACATGATAGAGAATGGGGTATCCATCCGCTCAAACACTTGTCCTCTGTATTACAAACAACCCAATTATACTCTTTTAGTTATTTTAAAATGTATGATTAAAATATTATCGATTGTAGTCGCCCTGTTGTGCTAGCAAATGCTAGGTTTTATTCATTAATTCTATTTTTTTGTACCAATTAACCATCTTCACTTCCCCTCCAACCCTCTACTGCCTTTCTCAACCTCTAATAACCATCCTTCTACTCTCTATCTCAATTAGTTCAATTGTTTTGATGTTTATATCACACAAATAAGTGAGAACATGTGATATTTGTCTTTCTGTACCTGGATTATTTCACTTAACATGATGCTCTGCAGTTCCATTAACATTGTTGCAAATGACAGGGCCTCATTCTTTCTTACGGCCAAATAGTACTACATTGTGTCTATGTACATTTTCTTTATCCATTCATCTGTTGATGGACAGTTAGGTTGCTTCCAAATCTTGGCTATTGTGAACATTACTGCAACAAACATGGGAGTACAGATATCTTTGATATACTGATTTTCTTTCTTTGGGGTATATACCCAGCAGTGAGACTGCTGGATCATATGGTAATTCTATTCTTGAGGAACCTCCACACTGTTCTCCATAGTGCTTGTACTCACTTACATTCCCACCAACTGTGTACGAGGTTTCCCTTTTCTCCACATCCTCGCCAGCATTTGTTATTGCATCTTTTAGATAAAAGCCATTTTAACTGGGGTGAAATGATATATCATTGTAGTTTTGATTTGCATTTCTCTGATGACAAATGATGTTGAATACATTTTCATATGTCTGTTTGCCATTTGTATGTCTTCATTTGAGAAATGTCTATTCAAATCTTTTGCCCATTTTAAAAACTGGATATTTTCCTAAAGAGTTGTTTGAGCTCCTTATGTATTCTGGTTATTAATCCCTTGTCAGAGGGGTAGTTTGCAAATATTTTCTCCCATTCTGTGTGTTGTCTCTTCACTTTGTTTATTGTATCATCTGCTGTGCAGAAGCTTTTTAACTTGAGGTGATCCCATTTGCCCATTTTTGCTTTGGTTGCCTGTGCTTGTGGGGTATTGCTCAAGAAATTTTTGTCCAGACCAATGTTCTGGGGACTTTGTCTAATGTTTTCTTGTAGTGGTTTAATAATTTGAGGTCTTAGAGTTAGGTCTTTGATCCGTTTTGATTTTATTTTTGTATATATAGAGAAACAGGGGTCAGTTTCATTCTTCTGCATGTGGAAATCCAGTTTTCCCAGCATGATTTATTGAAGAGACTGTCTTTTCCCCAGTGTACGTTCTCTCTTCCTCAGTGTATGTTCTTTGCACCTTTGTCAAAAATGAGTTTACTATAGGTGTGTGGATTTGTTTATGGGTTCTCTTTTCTGTTCCATTGGTGTATGCATCCATTTTTATGCCAGTATCATGCTGTTTTGTTCACTATAGCCGTGTAGCATAATTTGAAGTCAGGTAATGTGATTCCTCCAGTTTTGTCCTTTCTGCCTATGAGAGTTTTGGCTACTTGGGCTCTTTTCTGGTTCCATATAAGTTTTAGGATTGTGTTTTCTATTTCTGTGAAGAATGTCATTGGTATTTTGATAGAGATTGCACTGGATCTGTAAACTGCTTTGAGTAGTATGGACCGTTTAACAGTATTGATTCTTCTAATCCACAAGCATGGAATATCTTCCCATTTTTTGTGTCCTTTTCAATTTATTTCATCAGTGTTTAACAGTTTTCTTTGTAGATATCTGTCACTTCTTTGGTTAGTTCCTAGTTATTTAATTTTATTTGTGACTGTTGTGAATTGGATTCTGTTCTTTATTTCTTTTTTATATTATTCACTGTTGGCATATAGAAATGCTACTGATTTTTAAAATGTTGATCTTGTATTGTGCAACTTAACTGAAATTGTTTATCAGCTCTAATAGTTTTTTTGGTGGAGTCATTTGATTTTTCCAAATATAAGATTATATTATCTGCAAATAATGATAATTTGACTTCTTTCTTTCTGATTTGGATGCCCTTTATATTTTTCTCTTGTTTGCTCTAGCTACAACTTCCAGTACTATGTTGAATAACAGTGGTGAAAGTGGCCATCTTTGTGATGTTCTAGGTCTTAAAGGAAAGGCTTTCAGTTTTTACCCATTCAGTATGACACTTGTTGTGGGTCTGTCATATATGGATTTTATTATGTTGAGGTATGCTCCTTCTATAGTTTTTTTAAATGTTTTTATGATGAAGGGATGTTGAATTTTATAAAATGCTTTTTCAGCATCAGTTGAAATTATTATATGGTTTTTGTCCTTCATTTTGTTAATATGATGTACCACATTGGATTGATTTGCGTATGTTGAACCATCCTTGCATCCCTGTGACAAATCCTACTTAGTCATGATGAATGATTTTTAAAAAATGTGTTGTTGAATTTGATTTGCTAGTATTTTGTTCAGGATTTTTGCATCAATATTCATCAGGCATATTGGGGTATTGAAGTCTCCAGCTATTATTGTATTGAGTCTATTTCTCTTTTTAGCTCTAATAATATTTCCTTTATATATCTGGGTGCTCCAGTGTTGGATGCATGTATATTTAATATTGCTATAATCCACTTTCTGAATTGACCTCTTTATCACTATATAGTGACACTTTGTCTCCTACAGTTTTTGTTTTGAAATCTATTTTGTCTGATATAAATATAGTGACTCCTGGTGTTTTTTGGGTTTCCATTGTCATGGAATACTTTTTCCATCCCTTTGTTTTCAGTCTATGTGTGTTTTTATAGGTAAGGTGTGTTTCTTGGCAGAAACAGACCAATGGGTCTTGTTCTTTCATACATTTGGTCAGCCTACGCCTTTTGATTGGAGAGTTTAGTCCACTACATTCAATGTTATTATTGATAGGTAAGGCCTTGCTTTTGCCATTATGTTATTTGTTTTCTGGTTGTTTTGTGGTCCTCTCTTCCTTCTTTTCTGTCTTCCTGTCTTCCTTATAATGAAGGTGATTATCTCTGGTGATATAATTTATTCTCTTGCTTTTTTTTGTATATCTATCATATGTTTTTTGGTTTGAGGTTGCCATGAGGCTTGTAATTACCCATTATTTTAAGCTCATAACAACTTAATACTGTTTTCATAAACAAATAAACAAAAAGAAAACCAATAAACAGTTTAGCTTCATCTCCCCTGCTTTTTAATTTTTTTGTTGTTTTTATTTATACTTTATTGTCTATGTCTTGAAAAGTTGTTGCAGTTATTATTTTTAATTGGTTCATCATTTTGTTTTTCTACTAAGGTATGAGTAGTTACATACCATGATTACAGTGTTATAATATTCTGTGTTTTTCTGTGTAGTTACTACCAGTGAGTTTAGTACCTTCAGGTGATTATTTAGTGCTCATGTACGTCCTTTTATTTCTGCTTGAAGTACTCCCATTAGCATTTCTTGTAGTGCAGGTCTGCTGTTGATGAAATCCCTCAGCTATTGTTTGCTGGGAAAGTCTTTATTTCTTCTTCGTGTTTGAAGATGTTTTCACCAGATATGCTATTGCAAGGTAACCTTTTTTTTTTTTACTTCAGCACTTCAAATATGTCATGCTGCTCTCTCCTAGCCTTTTCCACTGAAAAGTCTACTGCCAGACATATTAGAACTCCATTGTAAGTTATTTTTTTTTCTGTTGATGCTTTTTGAATCCTTTCTTTATCCTTGACCTTTGGTAGTTTCATTATTAAATGACTTAAGGTAGTCATTTTTGGATTAAATCTGCTTGGTGTTCTATAATCTTCTTGTACTTGAATGCTGATAGCTTTCTCTAGTTTTGGGAAGTTCTCTGTTCTTATCCCTTTGAATAAACTTTCTTCCCCTATCTGTTTCTCTACCCCCTCTTTAAGGCCAATAACTCTTAGATTTGTCCTATTGAGGCTATTTTGTATATTCTATAAGAATGCCACAATTACTTTTGCACCAACCTAATATCTCCTCTGTGTATTTTCTTTTTTATTTTTATTTTTTAATTTTTTTATTATACTTTATGTTCTAGAGTACATGTGTACAACATGCAGGTTTGTTACTTATGTATACATGTGCCATGTTGGTGTGCTGCACCCATTAACTTGTCATTTACATTAGATATTTCTCCTAATGCCATCCCTTCCCGCTCCCATGACAGGCCCCTGTGTATGATGTTCCCTGACCTTTGTCCAAGTGTTCTCATTGTTCAAGTCCCACCTATGAGTGAGAACATGCAGTGTTTGGTTTTCTGTCCTTGCGATAGTTTGCTCAGAATAATGGTTTCCAGCCTCATCCATGTCCCTGCAAAGGACATGAACTCATCGTTTTCTATGGCTGTATAGTATTCAAGGTGTATATGTGCCACATTTTCTTAATCCAGTCTATCATTGATGGACATTTGGGTTGGTTCCAAGTCTTTGCTATTGTGAATAGTGCCACAATAAACATACATGTGCATGTGTCTTTATAGTAGCATGATTTACAGTCCTTTGGGTATATACCCAGTAATGGGATGGCTGGGTCAAATGGTATTTCTACTTCTAGATCCTTGAGGAATCACCACACTGTCTTCCACAATGGTTGAACTAGTTTACACTCCCACCAACAGTGTAAAAGCATTCCTATTTCTCCACGTCCTCTCCAGCACTTGTTGTTACCTGACTTTTTAATGATCACCATTCTAACTGGTGTGAGATGGTATCTTATTGTGGTTTTGATTTGCATTTCTCTGATGGCCAGTGATGATGAGCATTTTTTCATGTGTCTGTTGGCTGCATAAATGTCTTCTTTTGAGAAGTGTCTGTTCCTATCTTTTGCCTACTTTTTGATGCGGTTGTTTTTTTTTCTTGTAAATTTGTTTAAGTTCTTTGTAGATTCTGGATACTAGCCCTTTGTCAGATGGGTAGATTGCAAAAATTTTCTCCCATTCTGTAGGTTGCCTGTTCACTCTGATGGTAGTTTCTTTTGCCGTGCAGAAGTTCTTTAGTTTATTTAGATCCCATTTGTCAATTTTGGCTTTTGTTGCCATTGCTTTTGGTGTTCTAGTCCTTGCCCACACCTGTGTCCTGAATGGTATTGGCTAGGTTTTCTTCTAGGGTTTTTATGGTTTTAGGTCTAACATTTAAGTCTTTAATCCTTTTTGAATCAATTTTTATATAAGGTGTAAGGAAGGGATCCAGTTTCAGCTTTCTACATATGTCTAGCCAGTTTTCCCAGCACCCTTTATTAAATAGGGAATCCTTTCCCCAGTTGTTGTTTTTAATCGGGTTTGTCAAAGATCAGATGGCTGTAGATGTGTGGTGTTATTTCTGAGGACTCCGTTCTGTTCCATTGATCTATATCTCTGTTTTGGTACCAGTACCATGCTGTTTTGGTGACTGTAGCCTTGTAGTATAGTTTGAAGTCAGGTAGCATGATGCCTCCAGCTTTGTTCTTTTGGCTTAGGACTGACTTGGCAATGTGGGCTCTTTTTTGGTTCCATATGAACTTTAAAGTAGTTTTTTTCCAATTCTGTGAAGAAAGTCATTGGCAGTTTGATGGGGATGGTATTGAATCTATAAATTACCTTGGGCAGTATGGCCATTTTCACAATATTGATTCTACCTATTCATGAGCATGGAATGTTCTTCCATTTGTTTATGTCCTCTTTTATTTTGTTGAACAGTGGTTTTTAGTTCTCATTGAAGAGGTCCTTCATATCCCTAGTAAGTTGGATTCCTAGGTATTTTATTCTCTTTGAAGCACTCATGATTTGGCTGTTTGTCTGTTATTGGTGTATAGGAATGCTTGTAATTTTTGTACATTGATTTTGTATCCTGAGACTTTGCTGAAGTTGCTTATCAGCTTAAGGAGATTTTGGGCTGGGACAATGGGGTTTTCTAAATATGCAATCATGTCGTCTGCAAACAGGGACAATTTGACTTCCTTTTTTCCTAACTGAATACCCTTTATTTCTTTCTCTTGCCTGACTGCCTTGGCCAGAACTTCCAACACAATGTTGAATAGGAGTGGTGAAAGAGGGCATCCCTGTCTTGTGCAGGTTTTCAAAGGGGATGCTTCCAGTTTTTGCCCATTCAGTATGATATTGGCTATGGGTTTGTCATAAATAGCTTTTATTATTTTGAGACATGTTCCATCAATACCTAGTTTATTGAGAGTTTTTAGCATGAAGGGCTGTTGAATTTTGTCAAAGGCCTTTTCTGCATCTATTGAGAAAATCATGTCGTTTTTGTCATTGGTTCTGTTTATGTGATGGATTACGTTTATTGATTTGCATATGTTGAACCAGTCTTGCATCCCAGGGATGAAGCCGATTTGATCGTGGTGGATAAGCTTTTTGATGTGCTGCTGGATTCAGTTTGCCAGTATTTTATTGGGGATTTTTGCACTGATGTTCATCAGGGATATTGGTCTAACATCCTCTTTTTTTATTGTGTCTCTGCCAGGCTTTGGTATCAGGATGATGCTGGCCTCATAAAATGAGTTAGGGAGGATTCCTTCTTTTTCTATTGATTGGAATAGTTTCAGAAGGAATGGTACCAGCTCCTCTTTGTACCTCTGGTAGAATTTGGCTGTGAATCCATCTGGTCCTGGACTTTTTTTGGTTGGTAGGCTATTAATTAGTGCCTCAATTTCAGAGCCTGTTCTTAGTCTATTCAGGGATTCAACTTCTTCCTGGTTTAGTCTTGGGAGGGTTTATGTGTCCAGGAATTTATCCATTTCTTCTAGATTTTCTAGTTTATTTGCGTAGAGGTGTTTATAGTATTCTCTGATGGTAGTTTGTATTTCTGTTCGATAAGTGGTGATATCTCCTTTATCATTTTTTATTGCGTCTATTTGATTCTTCTCTCTTTTCTTCTTTATTAGTCTTGCTAGTGGTCTATCAATTTTGTTGATCTTTTTAAAAAACTAGGTCCT
Organism: Homo sapiens; assembly: GCF_000001405.40. Taxonomy (NCBI): domain Eukaryota; kingdom Metazoa; phylum Chordata; class Mammalia; order Primates; family Hominidae; genus Homo; species Homo sapiens. The sequence continues at coordinate 43,820 of NW_011332695.1, read as the reverse complement.
GGATTCATTGATTTTTTGAAGGGTTTTTTGTATCTCTCATCTCCTTCAGTTCTGCTTTCATCTTAGTTATTTCTTGCCTTCTGCTACCTTTTGAATGTGTTTGCTCTTGCTTCTCTAGTTCTTTTAATTGTGGTGTTAGGGTGTCCATTTTTGATATTTCCTGCTTTCTCTTGTGGGCATTTAGTGCTACAAATTTCCCTCTACACACTGCTTTAAATGTGTCCCAGAGATTCTGGTGCGTTTTGTCTTTGTGCTCATTGGTTTCAAAGAACATGTTTATTTCTGCCTTCATTTTGTTATTTACCCAGTAGTCATTCAGGAGCAGGTTGTTCAGTTTCCATGTAGTTGAGCAGTTTTGAGTGATTTTCTTAATCCTGATTTCTAATTTGATTGTACTGTGGTCTGAGAGACCATTTGCTGCGATTTCTGTTCTTTTATATTTGCTGAGGAGTGCTTTACTTCCAACTATGTGGTCAATTTTGGAATAAGTGTGATGTGGTGCTGAGAAGAATGTATATTCTGTGGAGAGTTCTGTAGAAGTCTATTAGGCCTGGTTGGTGCAGAGCTGAGTTCAAGTCCTGGATATCCTTGTTAACCTTCTATCTCCTTGATCTGTCTAATATTGACAGTGGGGTGTTAAAGCCTCCCATTATTATTGTGTGGGAGTCTTAAGTCTCTTTGTAGGTCTCTAAACACTTGTTTATGAATCTTGGTGCCTGTATTGGGTGCATACATATTTAGGATAGTTAGCTCTTCTTGTTGAATTGATCCCTTTACCATTAAGTAATGGCCTTCTTTGTCTCTTTTGATCTTTGTTGGTTTAAAGTCTGTTTTATCAGAGATTAGGACTGCAATCTCTGTTTTTTTTTGTTTTCCATTTGCTTGGTAGATCTTCCGCCTCATCTCTTTATTTTTAGCCTGTGTGTGTCTCTGCACATGAGATGGGTTCCCTGAATACAGCACACTGATGGATCTTGACTCTTTATTCAATTTGCCAGTCTGTGTGTTTTAACTGGGGCATTTAGCCCATTTACACTTAAGGTTAATATTGTTATGTATGAATTTGATCCTGTCATTATGATGTTAGCTGGTTATTTTGTCTATTAGTTGATGCAGTTTCTTTCTAGCATCAATGGTCTTTACAATTTGGCATGTTTTTTCAGTGGCTGGTACCAGTTGTTCCATTCAGTGTTTAGTGCTTCCTTCAGGAGCTCTTGTAAGGCAGGCCTGGTGGTGACAAAGTCTCTCAGCATTTGCTTGTCTGTAAAGTATTTTATTTCTCCTTCACTTATGAAGCTTAGTTTGGCTGGATATGAAATTCTGGGTTGAAAATTCTTTTCTTTAAGAATGTTGAATATTGACCCCCACTCTCTTCTGCTTGTAGAGTTTCTGTGGAGAGATCCACTGTTAGTCTGATGGGCTTCCCTTTGTGGGTAACCCGACCTTTCTCTCTGGCTGCCCTTAACATTTTTTCCTTCATTTCAACTTTGGTGAATCTGACAATTATGTGTCTTGGAGTTGCTCTTCTCGAGGAGTATCTTTATGGCATTCTCTGTATTCCCTGAATTTGAATGTTGGCCTGCCTTGCTAGATTGGGGAAGTTCTCCTGGATAATATCCTAAAGAGTGTTTTCCAACTTGGTCCCATTCTCCCCGTCACTTTCAAGCTGTTGGTGGATCTACCATTCTGGAATCTGGAGTATACCAATCAAACGTAGATTTGGTCTTTTCACATAGTCCCATATTTCTTGGAGGCTTTGTTCATTTCTTTTTATTCTTTTTTCTCTAAACTTCTCTTCTCACTTCATTTCATTAATTTGATCTTCAGTCACTGATACCCTTTCTCCCACTTGATCGAATCAGCTACTGAAGCTTGTGCATGCATCACGTAGTTCTCGTGCCATGGTTTTCAGCTCTACCAGGCCATTTAAGGTCCTCTCTATGCTGTTTATTCTAGTTAGCCATTCATCTAATCTTTTTTCAAGGTTTTTAGCTTCCTTGTGATGGGTTTGAACATCCTTCTTTAGCTCGGAGAAGTTTGTTATTACTGACCTTCTGAAGCCTACTTCTGTCAACTCATCAAAGTCATTCTCCATCTAGCTTTGTTCCATTGCTGGTGAAGAGCTGCGATCCTTTGGAGAAGAGGCACTCTGGTTTTTAGAATTTTCAGCTTTTCTGCTCTGGTTTCTCTCCATCTTTGTGGTTTTATCTACCTTTGGTCTTTGATGATGGTGACCTACAGATGGGGTTTTGATGTGGTTGTCCTTTTTGTTGATGTTGATGCTATTCCTTTCTGTTTGTTAGTTTTCCTTCTAACAGTCCGGTCCCTTAGCTGCAGGTCTGTTGGAGTTTGCTGGAAGTCCACTCCAGACCCTGTTTGCCTGGGTATCACCAGAGGAGGCTGCAGAACAGCAAATATTGCTGCCTGGTCATTCCTCTGGAGGCTTCATCTCAGACGGGCACCCAGCTGTATGAGGTGTCAGTCGACCCCTACTGGGAGGTGTCTCCCAGTTAGGCTACATGGGGATCAGGGACCCACTTGAGGAGGCAGTCTGTCCGTTCTCAGAGCTCAATCTTTGTGCTGGGAGAACCACTGCTCTGTTCAGAACTGTCAGACATGGACGTTTAAGTCTGCAGAAGTTTCTGCTGCTTTTTGTTCAGCTATGCCCCATAAGGGCAGTCATTAAATTTTAAAGATTCAAAATAATTTTTTGACTCCATGTCTCCAATCCAGGACACACAGGTACAATGGGTGGGCTTCCAAGGCCTTGGGCAACTCACCCTATGGATTTGCAGGATTCAGCCCCCTCACGTGCTTTCATGGGCTGTTGTTGAGTGCCTGTGGCATTTCCAGGTGCAGGGTACGAGCTGTTGGTGGATCTATCATTCTGGAATCTGGAGGGTGGTGGCCCTCTTCTCACAGCTTCACTAGGCAGTGCCCTAGTGGGGACTGTGTGTGGGAGCTCCAACCCTACATTTTCCTTCTGCATTGTCCTAGCAGTTTCTCATTGAGGGCTCCAACTCTGCAACAGGCTTCTGCCTTGATACCCTGGGTTTTCTGTACATCCTCTGAATTCTAGGCAGAGGCTCTCGAGCCTTAATTCTTGCACTCTGTGCAGCCACAGGCTTAAGACCACGTAGATGACACCACGACTTATGGTATGTTCCCTCTGAAGCAGCAGCCCAAGCTGTACCTGAGCTCCTTTGAGCTATGGCTGGAGCTGGAGTGGCTGGGATGCAGGGAGCAGTGTCCTGAGGCAGCACAGTGCAGGAAGTTCTTCGGTCTGGCCCAGGAAATAATTCAGTCCTCCTAAACCTCTATGCCTGTGATAAAGGGGCTGCTGTGAAGGTCTCTGAAATGCCTTCGAGGCCTTTCCCCATTGTCTTGGCTATTAGTACTTGGCTCCTTTTTACTTATGTAAATTTCTGCATCCTGCTTGAATTCCTTCCCTGAAAATGGGATTTTCTTTTCTACCACAGGTTGCAAATTTTCCAAACTTATATGCTCTGCTTCTCTTTAAATGTATAAGTTCCAACTTCAGGTTATTTCTTTGCTCATGCATATGACCATAGGATGTAGCCAGGCCACATCTTGAATGCTTTTCTGCTTGGAAATATCTTCCTCCAGATACCTTAAGTCATCACTCTCAATTTCAAAGTTCCATAGATCCCTTGATCAGGGGAACAATGCAGCCATATTCTTTGTTAAGGTATAACAAAAGTGCTTTTGCTCCAGTTCCTAATAAGTTTCTCAACTCTGTCTGAGACCTCATCAGCCTGGCCTTCTGTATACAAATCACTATCAGCATTTCGGTCACAACAATTCAACAAGTCTCTAGGAAGTTTGAACATTTCCCTCCCTCATCTTCCTGTCTTCTTCTGAGCCCTCTATACTCTTCCAACCTCTTCCTGTTGCCCAGTTCCAAAGCTGCTTTCACATTGTCAGGTATCTTTATACCAATGTCCCACTACTCAGTACCAATTTTCTGTATTAGTTCATTCTCAAATGGCTGTAAAGGAATACCTGAGTAATTTATAAGGAAGGGAGATTTAATTGACTCAGAGTTCTGCAGGAAGCATTGTGGCTTCTGCTCCTAGGGAGGCCTCAGGAAGCTTCCAATCATGGTGAAAGGTGAAGGGGAAGAAGACATGTCTTACATGGCAGGAGCAGAAGCAAAAGAGAAAGAGTGGGGAGTTGCCACACACTTTTGTGTTAAACAACCAGATCTTATGAGGACTCACTCACTACCACAAGAATACCACCAGGGAGATGGTGCTAAACCATTCATGGGAAACTTTCCCCATGATTACATCACCTCCCACCAGTCCCGTCTTCAACTCTGGAGATTAAAATTTGACATGAGATTTGGTGGGAACATAGATCCAAGCCATATCAGGTACATTTCAGCTGTTCTCTTTTAGCTATCTTGAAAAATGCAATACATAGTTTTAACTATAGTTACCCCACTTTGCTTTCTGAGCTTATTAGAAGTTATTCCTTATGGGCTGGGCACAGTGGCTCATGCCTGTAATCTCAGCACTTTGGGATGCTGAGGCAGGTGGATCACTGGAGACCAGGAGTTCGACACCAGCCTGGCCAACATGGTGAAACCCCATGTCTACTAAAAATACAAAAATTTACTACTCTGGAGGCTGAGGCATGAGAATCACTTGAACCTGGGAGGTTGCAGTGAGCCAAGATCACATGACTGCACTTCAGCCTGGGTGACAGAGTGAGACTGAGTTAAAAACAACAACAACAACAAAAACAAAAACCCAAAAAACTTATTCCTTCTATCTAACTGTATGTTTGTACCTATTAACCGACCTCTCTTTATCTACCCTCCCTCACCACAATACACCCTCTCCAGGAGGGTACCTATCCTTCTCCTCTTTACCTCTATGAAATAAACTTTTTTGGCTTGACATATGAGTGAGAACATGCAATATGTTTCTTTCTGTACTTGGCTTGTTTCACTTAACCTAATGATCTCTAGTTCCACCCATTTTGCTGCAAATGACATAATTTCATTCTTTTTTTTAATGTCCAAATGCTATTCCATCATGTATATATACACCATATTTTCCTTTTCCATTCATCCATTGACACGCACTTAGGTTGATTCCTTATCTTTGTTATTGTGAGTAATTCTGCAGTAAACATAAGAGTTTATGTATCCCTTTGATATATTGATTATTTTTCCCTTGGATAGACACCCAGGAGTGGGATTGCTAAATCACATAGTAGTACTATTTTTAGTTTTTTGAAAAAATCTCCATACTCTTTTTCCATAGTGGCTGTACCAGTTTACATTCCCATCAACTGTACAACAATTGCTTTTCTCTATATCTTCACCAACACCTGTTATTTTTGTCTTTTTAATAATAGCCATTCTAACTACAGATGATATCTTCTTATGGTTTAAATTTGCATTTCTCTGGTGATTAGGAATGTTGGGCAGGTTTTTCATATACCTGTCAGCCATCTATATGTCTTAGTTTGAGAAATGTCTTTTTGTGTGTTTGTTTATTTTTAATGGGATTATTAATTATTATTATTTTTACTGTTGAGTTGTTTGAGTTCCTTGTATATTCTCGATATTAGTCCCCTGTTGGATGAATAGTTTGCAAATATTTTCTCCCATTCAAGAGGTTGTTCCTTCACTCTGTTGACTGTTTCTTTTCCTGTACCAAAGGGTTTTAGTTTAATATAGTCTCATTTGTCTATTTTTGTTTTTGTTTCCTGTGGTGTTGAGGCGTTTGCTATAAAATGTTTGCCTAGACCAATGTCTGAATAGCTTTCTCCATGTTTTCTTTCAGTAGTTTTAGTGTCACGTTTTATGTTTAAGTCTTTAATCAATCTTGAGTTGATTTTTGCATATAGTAAGAGTGTGGGGTTCAGTTTCATTCTTCCACATTTCAATCATATGGAGCACTATTTATTCAAAAAGTGTCCTTTCCTTAATGTATGTTCTTAAGGACTTCATTGAAGATCAGTTGGCTGTAAATATGTGCATTTATTTCTGGGTTATCTGTTTTGTTCCACTGGTTTATGTGTCTGTTTTTATGCTAATACTATGTTGTTTTGGTCACTAAAGCCTTATAATATATTTAGAGATCAGGTAGCATGATGCCTCCAGCTTTCTTCTTTTTGCTAAGAATTGCTTTGGCTATTCTGTCTCTTTTTTTGGTTTCATATATATTTTAGGATTGTTTTTTCTATTTCTGTGAAAGTGACATTGATATTTTGACAGAGGTTACATTGAATATGCAGATTCCTTTGGGCAGTAGGATCATTTTAACAAAATTAATTCTTTCATAACATAAGCGTAAAATTTCTTTCCATTAGTTTCTGTTCTCTTCAATTTCTTTTACCAGTTTTTTATTTTCTAGTATTCCTTGTAGAGATTTTTTACCTCTTTTATGGAAGAAATACTCATTTATTTACATATAACTGTCTTTAGTTTTTAAAACATCTCTGAGTATTTCATTGTTGTAATTTTATCAACTAAATAAACAATCCTTCCTTTTCATATAAATTTCCTTTAAACAAGAAAAAGTTGATCATGGCTATGTTTTTAAAAAGCCTGTTTAAAAGTTTATGATCCTGGGCTGTGCTTAATTATTAACACATAATAAATCACATTCTTTCTTCTGGTTTCTGGTGAGGAGGGCAAGGCATGAGCCAACATACTGAAATAATTCTGAATGTAACCTTGTAGTACCCAATATGTATTGGCTTTAAATATGTGCATGTATTAAACAGGTATTCTATCTTCCAGTGTTTTATTTGCTCAACTAGTTAATGACTTATTTTATTTTATTTTATTTATTTTATTTTTCCAACTTTTCGGTTCAGGAAGTACATGTGTGGGTTTTTTTATATGGGTAAATTGCACATCATAGGGGTTTTGGTATAAAGATAATTTCATTACCCAGGTAATGAGCTTAGTACCCCAAAGGTAGTTATTTAATCCTCTCCTTCCTACAACACTACATCCTCAAGAAGGCCACAGTGTCTATTGTTCCCTTCTTTGTGTTCATGTATACTGAATGTTTAGCTCCCACTTGTAAGTGAGAACAAGTGCAATTTCGTTTCCTGTTCCTGTGGTTAATTTGCTGAGGATAATGGTCTCCAGCTCCATTCATGCTGCTACAAAGGACATGATCTCATATTGTTTTTTTTTTTTAATTTTTTTTTATTATACTTTAAGTTTTAGGGTACATGTGCACATTGTGTGGGTTAGTTACATACGTATACATGTGCCATGCTGGTGTGCTGCACCCACTAACTCGTCATCTAGCATTAGGTATATCTCCCAATGCTATCCCTGCCCCCTCCCCCAACCCCACAACAGTCCCCAGAGTGTGATGTTCCCCTTCCTGTGTCCATGTGATCTCATTGTTCAATTCCCACCTATGAGTGAGAATATGCGGTGTTTGGTTTTTTGTTCTTGTGATACTTTACTGAGAATGATGATTTCCAATTTCATCCATGTCCCTACAAAGGACATTAACTCACCATTTTTTATGGCTGCATAGTATTCCATGGTGTATATGTGCCACATTTTCTTAATCCAGTCTATCATTGATGGACATTTGGGTTGGTTCCAAGTCTTTGCTATTGTGAATAATGCCACAATAAACATACGTGTGCATGTGTCTTTATAGCAGGACGATTTATAGTCCTTTGGGTGTATACCCAGTAATGGGATGGCTGGGTCAAATAGTATTTCTACTTCTAGATCCCTGAGGAATTGCCACACTGACTTCCACAATGGTTGAACTAGTTTACAATCCCACTAACAGTGTAAAAGTGTTCCTATTTCTCCACATCCTCTCCAGCACCTGTTGTTTCCTGACTTTTTAATGATTGCCATTCTAACTGGTGTGAGATGGTATCTCATTGTGGTTTTGATTTGCATTTCTCTGATGGCCAGTGATGGTGAGCATTTTTTCATGTGTTTTTTGGCTGCATAAATGTCTTCTTTTGAGAAGTGTCTGTTCATGTCCTTCGCCCACTTTTTGATGGGGTTGTTTGTTTTTTTCTTGTAAATTTGTTGGAGTTCATTGTAGATTCTGGATATTAGCCCTTTGTCAGATGAGTAGGTTGCGAAAATTTTCTCCCATTTTGTAGGTTGCCTGTTCACTCTGATGGTAGTTTCTTTTGCTGTGCAGAAGCTCTTTAGTTTAATTAGATCCCATTTGTCAATTTTGGCTTTTGTTGCCATTGCTTTTGGTGTTTTAGACATGAAGTCCTTGCCCATGCCTATATCCTGAATGGTAATGCCTAGGTTTTCTTCTAGGGTTTTTATGGTTTTAGGTCTAACCTTTAAGTCTTTAATCCATCTTGAATTGATTTTTGTATAAGGTGTAAGGAAGGGATCCAGTTTCAGCTTTCTACATATGGCTAGCCAGTTTTCCCAGCACCCTTTATTAAATAGAGAATCCTTTCCCCATTGCTTGTTTTTCTCAGGTTTGTCAAAGATCAGATAGTTGTAGATATGTGGCGTTATTTCTGAGGGCTCTGTTCTGTTCCATTGATCTATATCTGTGTTTTGGTACCAGTACCGTGCTGTTTTGGTTACTGTAGCCTTGTAGTATAGTTTGAAGTCAGGTAGTGTGATGCCTCCAGCTTTGTTCTTTTGGCTTAGGATTGACTTGGCGATGTGGGCTCTTTTTTGGTTCCATATGAACTTTAAAGTAGTTTTTTCCAATTCTGTGAAGAAAGTCATTGGTAGCTTGATGGGGATGGCATTGAATCTGTAAATTACCTTGGGCAGTATGGCCATTTTCACGATACTGATTCTTCCTACCCATGAGCATGGAATGTTCTTCCATTTGTTTGTATCCTCTTTTATTTTGTTGAGCAGTGGTTTGTAGTTCTCCTTGAAGAGGTCCTTCACATCCCTTGTAAGTTGGATTCCTAGGTATTTTATTCTCTTTGAAGCAATTGTGAATGGGAGTTGACTCATGATTTGGCTCTCTGTTTGTCTGTTGTTGGTGTATAGGAATACTTGTGATTTTTGTACATTGATTTTGTATCCTGAGACATTGCTGAAGTTGCTTATCAGCTTAAGGAGATTTTGGGCTGAGACAATGGGGTTTTCTAGATATACAATCATGTCATCTGCAAACAGGGACAGTTTGACTTCCTCTTTTCCTAATTGAATACCCTTTATTTCCTTCTCCTGCCTAATTGCCCTGGCCAGAACTTCCAACATTATCCAGGAGAATTTCCCCAATCTAGCAAGGCAGGCTAACGTTCAGATTCAGGAAATACAGAGAACGCCACAAAGATACTCCTCGAGAAGAGCAACTCCAAGACACATAATTGTCAGATTCACCAAAGTTGAAATGAAGGAAAAAATGTTAAGGGCAGCCAGAGAGAAAGGTCGAGTTACCCTCAAAGGGAAGCCCATCAGACTAACAGCGGATCTCTCGGCAGAAACCCTACAAGCCAGAAGAGAGTGGGGGCCAATATTCAACATTCTTAAAGAAAAGAATTTTCAACCCAGAATTTCATATCCAGCCAAACTAAGCTTCATAAGTGAAGCAGAAATAAAATATTTTACAGACAAGCAAATGCTGAGAGATTTTGTCACCACCAGGCCTGCCCTAAAAGAGCTCCTGAAGGAAGCACTAAACATGGAAAGGAACAACTGGTACCAGCCACTGCAAAATCATGCCAAAATGTAAAGACCATAGAGACTAGGAAGAAACTGCATCAACTAACGAGCAAAATAACCAGCTAACATCATAATGACAGGATCAAATTCACACATAACACTATTAACTTTAAATGTAAATGGACTAAATGCTCCAATTAAAAGACACAGACTGGCAAATTGGATAAAGAGTCAAGACCCATCAGTGTGCTGTATTCAGGAAACCCATCTCACGTGCAGAGACACACATAGGCTCAAAATAAAGGGATGGAGGAATATCTACCAAGCAAATGGAAAACAAAAAAAGGCAAGGGTTGCAATTCTAGTCTCTGATAAAACAGACTTTAAACCAACAAAGATCAAAAGAGACAAAGAAGGCCATTACATGATGGTAAAGGGATCAATTCAACAAGAAGAGCTAACTATCCTAAATATATATTCACCCAATACAGGAGCACCCAGATTCAGAAAGCAAGTCCTTAGAGACCTACAAAGAGACTTAGGCTCCTACACAATAATAATGGGAGACTTTAACACCCCATTGTCAACATTAGACAGATCCACGAGACAGAAAGTTAACAAGGATATCCAGGAATTGAACTCAGCTCTGCACCAAGCAGACCTAATAGACATCTACAGAACTCTCCACCCTAAATCATCAGAATAGACATTTTTTTCAGCACCACACCACACCTATTCTAAAATTGACCACATACTTGGAAGTAAAGCTCTCCTCAGCAAATGTAAAAGAACAGACATTATAACAAACTATCTCTCAGGCCACAGTGCAATCAAACTAGAACTCAGGGTTAAGAATCTCACTCAAAACCACTCAACTACATGGAAACTGAACAACCTGCTCCTGAATGACTACTGGGTACATAACGAAATGAAGGCAGAAATAAAGATGTTCTTTGAAACCAACGAGAACAAAGACACAACATACCAGAATCTCTGGGACACATTCAAAGCAGTGTGTAGAGGGAAATTTATAGCACTAAATACCCATAAGAGAAAGCAGGAAAGATCCAAAATTGACACCCTAACATCACAATTAAAAGAACTAGAAAAGCAAGAGCAAACACATTCAAAAGCTAGCAGAAGGCAAGAAATAACTAAAATCAGAGCAGAACTGAAGGAAATAGATACACAGAAAACCCTTCAAAAAATTAATGAATCCAGGAGCTGGTTTTTTGAAAGGATCAACAAAATTGATAGACCACTAGCAAGACTAATAAAGAAAAAAAGAGAGAAGAATCAAATAGATGCAACAAAAAATGATAAAGGGGATATCACCACCGATCCCACAGAAATACAAACTACCATCAGAGAATACTACAAACACCTCTACGCAAATAAACTAGAAAATCTAGAAGAAATGGATAAGTTCCTTGACACATACACTCTCCCAAGACTAAACCAGGAAGAAGTTGAACCTCTGAATAGACCAATAACAGGATCTGAAATTGCGGCAATAATCAATAGCTTACCAACCAAAAAGAGTCCAGGACCAAATGGATTCACAGCCGAATTCTACCAGAGGTACAAGGAGGAACTGGTACCATTCCTTCTGGAACTATTCCAATCAGTAGAAAAAGAGGGAATCCTCCCTAACTCATTTTATGAGGCCAGCATCATTCTGATACCAAAGCCGGGCAGAGACACAACCAAAAAAGAGAATTTTAGACCAATATCCTTGATGAACATTGATGCAAAATTCCTCAATAAAATACTGGCAAACCGAATCCAGCAGCACATGAAAAAGCTTATCCACCATGATCAAGTGGGCTTCATCCCTGGGATGCAAGGCTGGTTCAATATATGCAAATCAATAAATGTAATCCAGCATATAAACAGAGCCAAAGACAAAAACCACATGATTATCTCAGTAGATGCAGTAAAGGCCTTTGACAAAATTCAACAACGCTTCATGCTAAAAACTCTCAATAAATTAGGTATTGATGGGACATATTTGAAAATAATAAGAGCTATCTATGACAAACCCACAGCCAATATCATACTGAATGGCAAAAACTGGAAGCATTCCCTTTGAAAACTGGCACAAGACAGGGATGCCCTCTCTCACCACTCCTATTCATATTGTTTTTTAATGGCTGCATAGTATTCCATGGTGTATATGTACCACATTTTCTTTATTTAGTCCATCTATGTTATGGGAAGTCAGAGACCCTGAACAGAGGGGCCAGCTGGAGCTGTGGCAGAGGAACATAAATTGTGAAGATTTCATCTTAATATGTACATTTATCAGTTCTCAAATAATACTTTTATAATTTCTTATGCCTGTCTTTTATCTCTTAATCCTGTTATCTTCGTAAGCTGAGGATGTGCGTCACCTCAGGACCACTGTGATAATTGTGTTAACTGTACAAATTGACTGTAAGACGTGTGTTTGAACAATATGAAATCAGTGCACCTTGAAAAAAAACAGAATAATAGCGAATTCTATGGAACAAGGGAAGACAACCATAAGGTCTGACTGCCCTGCGGGATTGGGCAAAAACGGCCATATTTTTCTTCTTGCAGAGTGCCTATAAGCAGGCATGCAAGTGGGAAACATATCACTAAATTCTTTTCCTAGCAAGAAATATTAATATTAATACCCTGGGAAAAGAATGCGTTCCTGGGGGGAGGTCTATAAATGGCTGCTCTGGGAATGTCTGTCTTGTGCAGTTGAGATAAGGACAGAGATAAGCCCTGGTCTCCTGCAGAACCCTCAGGCTAAGTAGGTTTGGGAGAACTCAGCCCTGGTAAATTTGTGGTCAGACCGGTTCTCTGCTCCTGAACCCTGTTTTCTGTTGTTTAAGATGTTTATCAAGACAATACATGCACTGCTGAACATAGACCCTTATCAGTGGTTCTGCTTTTGCCCTTTGCCCTGTGATCTTTGTTGGACCCTTATCAGTTGTTCTGCTTTTGCCTTTTGCCCTATGATCTTTCTTGGACCCTTATCAGTGGCTCTGCTTTTGCCCTTTGCCCTGTTCTCTCAGAAGTATGTGATCTTTGTTAGACCCTTATCAGTGGTTCTGCTTTTTGCTCTTTGAAGCATGTGATCTTTGTACCTACTCTGTTCTTACACCCTCTCCCCTTTTGAAACCCTTAATAAAAACTTGCTGGTCTGAGACTCAGGTGGGCATCATGGTCCTACCGACATGTGATGTCACCCCTGGTGGCCCAGCCATAAAATTCCTCTCTTTATACTGTCTCTCTTTATTTCTCATCCAGCTGACACTTACAGAAAATAGAAAGAACCTACTTTGAAGTATTGGGGGCAGGTTCTCCCAATACACCATTGTTGGGCATTTAGGTTGATTCCATGTCTTTGCTATTGTGAACAGTGCTGCAATGAACATACACATACATGTGTCTTTGTGCTAGAGTTATTTATTTTCTTTGGGTAAGTATCAAATTGTATATGGGATTACTGAATTGAATGGTAGTTCTGTTTTAAGTTCTTTGAGAAATCTAAAAACTGCTTTTAATAGTGGATGAACAAGTTTACCCTCCTACCAGCAGTGCATTAGTATTCCTTTTCTCCACAGCCTCAGCAGCATCTATTATTTTTTGAATGTTTAATAATAGCCATTCTAACTGATTTGAGATGGGTATCTCATTGTGGTTTTGATTTGCATTTCTCTAATAATTGGTGATGTTAACATTTTTTATTTGCTTGTTGGCCACATGTATGTCTTCTTTTGAGAAGTATTTATTCATGTCCTTTGCCCACCTTTTTATGGGGTCGTTTTCTTCTTGTAAATTTGTTTAAGTTCCTTATAGATGCTGGATTTTAGACCTTCATTGGATGCATAGTTTGCAAATATTTTCTCCCATACTGTAGGTTGTCTGTTTACTCTGTTGATAGTTTCATTTGCTGTGCAGAAGCTCTTTAGTTTAATTAGATCCTGTTTGTCAATTTTTGCTTTTGTGGTAATTACTTTTGGTGTCTTCATCATGAAATCTTCACTAGGGTCTATGTCCAGAATGGTATTGCCTAGGTTTTCTACAAGGTTTTTATAGTTTTAGTTTTTACATTTAAGTCTTTAAGCCATCTTCAGTTGATTTTTGTATATGGTGAAAAGAAAGGGCCCAGTTTCAGGCTTCTGCATGTGGTTAGACAGTTATTCCAGCACCATTTATTGAATAGTGAGGCCTTTTTCCTTTGCATGTTTTTGTCAACTTTGTTAAAAATCAGATGGTTATACGTGTATGGCTTTATTTCTGGGTTCTCTATTCTGTCCCTTTGCTCTATGTGTGTGTTTTTGAATTAGTACCATGCTGTTTTGGTTACTGTAGCCTCATAGTATAGTTTGAAGCCAAATAGTGTGATGCCTTCAGCTTTTTTCTTTTTTGCTTAGGATTACTTTAGATATTTGGGTTCTTTTTTGGTTTCATGTAAATTTTAGAATAGTTTTTTTTTTCTAATTCTGTGAAAAAATGTCATTGGGAGTTTGATAGGAATAGCGTTGAATTGTAAATTGCTTATGACAGTATGGCCATTTTAACAATATTGATTCTTCCTATCCTTGAGGATAAAATGTTTTTCCATTTGATTGTAGTATTTATGATTTATTTCTAGGTATTTTTGGTAGCTATTATAAATGAACTGCCTTCTTGATTTATTTTTTCCAATTTTATTATTGGTATATAGAAATGGTATTAATTTTTTGTATGTTGATTTTTTGTTCTACAACTTTACTGAATTTGTTTCATCAGTTCTAAGAGTTTTTTTGATGACATGTTTTGGTTTTTAAAAATAGAAAATCATGTGGTTTGCAAAGAGAGGCAATTTGACTTTCTCTTTTCCAATTTGGATGGTTATTTCTTTCTCTCACCTGATTGTTTTGGCTAGGATTTCCAGTACTATGTTCAATAGTAGAGCTGAATGTGGGTATCCTTGTTTTGTTCCAGTTCTTAGAGAAATGGTTTTCCATTTTTCCCCATTCAGTATGATGTCAGCTGTGAGTTTGTCATATAAGGTCTTATTATTTTGAGGTATGTTCATTCTATGGGTAGTTTGTTGAGAGTTTTAATCATAAAGGGAAGTTAATTTTTTTCACGTTTTTCTGCATTATTGAGATGACTATATAATTTTTGTTCTTCACTCCATTTGAAGACTGAAACAAAGGTTCAACCCCCCACCCCATCGACACACTAATGGACCCTTGGTATGGTTTGGCTATATCCCCACCCAAATCTCATCTTGAATTGTAGTTCCCATAATCCCCACATGTGGGAGGGGCCTGGTGGGAGGTAACTGAATCTTGGGGGTGGTTACCCCATGCTGCTGTTCTCATGATAGTGAGTGAGTTCTCACAAGATCTATGGTTTTATAAGGGGCTTTCCCCCCTTTTGCTTGGCACTTCTTGCTGCTGCCAAGTGAAGATGAACGTGTTTGCTTCTTCTTCTGCCATGATTGTAAGTTTCCTGAGGCCTCCTCAGCTAGCCTGAACTGTGAGTCAATTAAACTTCTTTCCTTTGTAAATTACCAAGACTTGGGTGTGTCTTTATTAGCATAAAATTAGTGTGAGAATGGACTAATACAACCCACTAGGCTAAAATACCCCAAAACCTTTGAGTTCCTGGCCATGATGAGACAGATTGGTTATATCCCACTCTTGGCTTCCCCTTACTTATTATTACCAGATTTTCTCAAAAGCCAGCTTGGGAGAACAAAAGACAGGAAAACACCTCCACTTATTTAATTTGACCACCTGACACCACTCCTTTTGTTTTCATGGTTCTAGCATTGCAGTTCTCCTTGTCTACAAAGCATTCCTTTTTGCTAAATGACTGCTGGCTATAGACTGGTTTTGACCAGTTTACTGAGTATGTACAGAGAGGTGGCTCTGTGCCCTTTGTTTCACCTTTCTTTAGGTGAAATTTGAAAATTGGGCCACTTTATGGGATCTCATATGTCATAAGGGATTTATTCTTTTTTATTTTTATTTTTGCTCACTGGATTATTTCAAAAGACTTGTCTTCACATTCTGATTTTTTTTTCTTACTGTATCTAGCCTATTGTTGAAACTTTCAAATGCATTGTGTATTTCATTCAATTAATTATTCTCTTCCAGGATTTCTGTTTGGTTCTGTTTTATATCTATCTCTGGTAAATTTCTCATTCATGTTCTGAATTGTCTTTCTGATTTCTTTGTATTGTTTTCCAGAATTCTCTTATATGTCACTGAGCTTCTTTAGCATCAAAATTTTGAATTCTTTCTTCTGAGATTTCATAAATTTCTTTTTGATTAGGATCTGTTGCTGGAGAATTATTGTGTTGCTTTGGAAGTGTCATATATCCTTGTTTTTTCTTCTTCCTATGTCCTTACTTTGTTACCTGCACATCTGATTTAACAGTTGCTTTTTACATTTTTTTAAATTTGTTTTTGGAGAGAAGGATTTTTTCCTGAAGATATATCTATGGTGCTGCTTGGGTATTACACTTTAGCTTTGATTCTGGGTGCATTTAATAGTGTAGTCTCTGTATTATTTCTTTGGCTGTAAACAGTGTCAATGATGTCTGTAATTTCCTCAGTGGCTCAAGGTGTAGTTGTTAGTGAAGGTTTTGCTGAAGTTTTGCTGGGGACTGGACAACCAGGTAGACCAGTCTTCAGACACCAGTGGTAGCAGCGGTGGGCTGAGTGTGCCTGTCTTTGGGCCCCAGAGCACCAGCATTAGTGGGTCGAGGCAGGCCAATTCTTGGGCCTCCAGGTGGCTTGCTCTATTGTTGGGAATATCAGTGGAGGGTTGGGAGGTGGGGTGGGTTCTTGAGCCCCTAAAGAGTGGGTGTTGCTTGGGCAATGGCAGTAGCAGTGGTGGAACAGCACTTTGGGACCCAGGTGGTCCCCACTGGTGTTAACAGTGTTAACAGACCCACACGTGGCATATGGAGGTAGGTGCTAGCTGTGGTGGCAGTGGCAGGTTGAGTGGGTCCAGCTTTAGACTCTAGGAGAAGAGCTCAGATGCCACTAGTAGTGGACTAGACTGTGAGAGTCCCAGGTTCCTGGATGCTGTGCTCAGGTACTTGGGATGGGGGCAACCAGGCCTGCCTGTGTCCTCAGGCCCCTTGTTGGTGTGTAAACACATTGGCTATGGTGTGCAGTAGTAGGGTAAGCCCAAGGCCTCTGACAGAATGCTCAGGTGGAGGAGGCAGTGGGTGTGCTACTGTAGAGGGTGGAGTTGCTTTTCCTGGGGGCAGACATAGGCAGGCAGCTGGGGGTGTGGGCTTTTAGTGTACCTCAGCCCATAGCAGTCTACACCTACAGCAGTTGCAGGCAGCAGAACTCATCCTCAGGATATGTGAGAATGTGCAGCCCTCTGCAGGGGTGGGGCAGAATCACGCTGGTGGCTGCCATATTGGCCCAGGTTGCAGGACAAGATGCAGTCTGGTGTGGGCTGGGCTCTCAAAATGGCATCTTGTTGCTGTGCCCAGGACTTCAGGGCTTGTGGGACCCAGCATGACCTCTCTTTCTGAAGCAATGCCTTTGTGTGGTTTCCAGGGACTCCCTATGTTATTCTCGGGGCCTGCAAGGGTCATGCAGCTCTCCATTGGCTAGGATTATAGGATTTCTTGGTGGGAATGTGGACCACTGGAAATCTCTCATTTACATTTTCCCTGCATTAGGGAGTCTTTTCTGGTTCCCCACTGATCTTGGCTAAGCAGACTGCCTTGCTCCCTGCCTTTCCCTTGCTTTAGGTGTTTGTCACCACTTCTCTGTTGAATTCCAGTGTTTTCTCTTGGATGATCTATTCAAAGAGTGATTATCTCTTCACTATTTTGGTTATTTTAATTAAAGGAGGTGAGTAAGAGATGCTTCTAATCAGCCATATTGGCCCCTATTTTGTTGCACTTTTGACGGATAGAATTTGTAAGCCCAGGCATCAGATAAAAATTTAACATTAATGACTTGAATGGTCAGATGACAGAGCTTGGGAAAAAAAGAGCAGCTGGAAATTTGATGGGCACCTACATGCAAGGGAACTAAATGCAGACAGGCTGAACCCTGTTCTCCAAACTGATAATAAACTGCCCAAATTATTAAATTATTGACAAATTCACAATCATGAAAGAGTTCCCCTACACGCCAGGTTAAAAGAACAGCAGCTGGAAGCCAAATGAATTGAACAAATAGATCACGTGTTGCAAAACAAACGGAAAAGAGTCTACTATATGCTTTATAGTATAAGTATAGAGAAGACAGCTATCTACCACAACATAAAACCAACAACCATCAGAAGAATATAACAGATTTCAGAGTCATTACAATTATTACCTATAATGTCCTATTTTTGAACAAAAGTCTCTAAAAAAATGAAAAGAAGCAGTAAAGTATAAGCCATGTCAATAAAAAATGGTGGTCAATTGAGACCCACTCCAAATAACAATTGTTGGATTTAGGAGACAACGATTTCAAAGAAGGTATTGTAATATGTTCAAAGGCTTAAAAAATGCATAAACAAACCAACATAGATCTAATCAGAAAAATAGAAACTATATAAAAAAGGATAAACTCTATAGCTGAAAAAATACAGTCACTGCAAAGATAAAATAACTAGATGGGTTTAAAAGTAGTTTACAGATGGCAAGCAGGAAAAAATTAATTAAATATATAATGTCTGTTCAAATGTTTCATCTGTTTTTAACATTGGGCTGTTTTACTTCTTATTTATTTATAAGAGTTCTTTGTATATTCTTGTTCAAGAGTTGGCAAGATCTTAAAGGCCAGAGAGAAATATCCTGGGCTCATTGGCCAAACAATCTGTCATAACTACTCATCTCTGTCACTAAAATGCACAAGCAATCATATATAATATGTAAACAAATGGGCATGGTTGTATTTCAATAAAACTTTATTTAAACAAACAGATGGTCAGCGAAAGTTTGTAATTTTTTGTTCTCTTTTCTGAACATAAGGCCTATGTGAGATATATGTACTGCAAATATTATATCCTTTTCTGTGTTGGTTTGCTGTCACTTGAAGAACAAACGTTTTAAATTTTGATGAAGTCTAATGTATCAGTCAGCATGGGCTACCATAAAAAATACTTAGACTGGGGGCTTAAACAATAGACATTTATTTTCTTATAATTCTACAGAAACAGGATGCCAGCATGGTCAGTTTCTGAGGTCTCTTCTTTAGGGTTATGATCTCATCAGGCCAGGGCCCCATTCTCATGACCTCCTATATCCCCAATTACCTCCCCAAAGCCTCATCTTCATATACCATCATATTGGAAGTTAAGGCTCCAACATGTGAATTTTAGGGGACACAAAAATTCAATTCATAACCAAAGTATAATTTTTTTTGCCTCTCTTACGGTTTGTGGTTCTTGTGTAATGCCAAAAAATCTTATTTCCCAAATGCAAAAATTTTCTCCTATGTTTATATCTAGAAATTTTTTTTTATTTTTTTGCATTTACATCTATGGTACATTTTGAGTTAATTTTCTTTATGTTGTGAGTTAAGGGTAGGTGTTATATTTTTCATGTGTATATGCAGTTGTTCTAGTAACATTTGTTGCAGACTCTTTCTATTCTTAGAATTTCTTTTAACATTTATCTGAAATCAATTGATCATTTATACTTGTGTCTATTTTTACATCATTTTTTCTGCTCCTTTGAACTATATATCTAACCTTTCACCAATATAACAGTGTTGACTGCTGTAGGCTTATGAAAAGTCTTGAAATCATGTCTTGCAAATATTAAAACTTTTTCCTTCCATTCCAAAATGGTTTTATTTATTCCAGCTAGTAGTCATTTTCCTTCCATTCTAAAATGGTTTTATTTATTCCAGCTAGTAGGCATATCTATGTAAATCTTATATGTAGTTTATCAATCCCTACAAAAGTTTCATGGACTACATAGGTCATTTTTTTGAGAATTAACAATTTTTTTGTAAATTTATTTGTTTATTCGTGTGTGTGTATATATACATATATGTGTGTGTATATATATATATATATATTTTTTTTTTTTTTTTTTTGAGACAGAAGTCTTGCTCTGTTGCTCAGGCTGGAGTGTAGTGGCATGATCTTGGCTCACTGCAACTTCTGTTTTTCAGGTTCAAGAGATTCTCGTGCCTCAGCCTCTGGAGTAGCTGGAGCTACAAGTGTGCGCCACCAAGCCCAGCCAATTTATGTATTTTTAGTAGAGACGGGGTTTCACCAAGTTGGCCAGGCTAATCTGGAACTCCTGACCTCAAGTGATCCACCTGCCTTGGCCTCCCAAAGTGCTGGGATTACAGGAGTGAGTCACCATGACTGGCCCATTTATATATTTTTAAAACTTTTATTTTAGCTTCAGCTACATGTGCATGTTTGTTATATGGGTAAACTCATGTCACAGGGGTTTGCTGTACACATTATTTTGTCACCCCAGTACTAAGCCTGGTACCCAATAGCTTTTTTTCTGCTTCTCTTCCTCCTTCCGCCTTCCACCTTAAGGTAGCCCCCAGTGTCTGTTGTTCTCCTTTTTTGCATCCATGTGTTCTCATCATTTAGCTTCTACCTATAAGTGAGAACATGCGACATTTGGTTTTCTGTTCTTGTGTTAGTTTGCTAAGGATAATGGCCTCCAGCTCCATCCATGTTTCTGCAAAGGACATGATCTTGTTCTTTTTTAGAACTGCATAGTATTTCGTGGTGTATATGTACCACATTTGCTTTATCCAGTCTACGATTGATGGGCATTTAGGTTGATTCCATGTGTATTAGTCTGTTCTCACACTGCTAATAAAGACATATCTGAGACTGGGTAATTTATAAAGGAAAGAGGTTTAATTGACTCAAAATTCCACATGACTGGGGAGGCCTCACAATCATGGTGGAAGCAAAGGAGGAGCAAAGTCATGTCTTACAAGGTGGCAGGCAAGAGAGAATGACAACCAAGCAAAAGTGGAAACCCCTTATAAAACCATCATATCCTATGAGACTTATTCACTACCATGAGAATAATATAGGGGAAACCACCCCCATGATTTAATTATCTCCCACTGGGACCCTCTCACAAAACATGGGAATTATGGGAGCTACAATTCAAGATGTGATTTGGGTGAGGACACAGTCAAACCATATCACCATGTCTTTGCTATCATGACTAGTGCTGCAATGAATACACATGGGGATGTGTCTTTATGATAGAATAGTTTATATTTCTTTGGGTATGTGTTAGTCCATTTTCATACTGCTCTGAACACATACCCGAGACTGAGTAATTTATAAAGAAAACTGTGAGTTTAATAAACTCACAGTTCCACATGGCTGGGGAGGCCTCCCAGTCATGACAGAAGGCAAAGGAGGAACAAAAGCGTGTCTTACATGGTGGCAGGCAAGAGCAAATGTGCAGAGGAGCTGCCCTTTATAAAATGATCAGATCTAGTGAGACTTATTCACTATCACAAGAACTGCATGGAAAAAACCTGCCTCCGTGATTCAATGACCTCCCACAAGATCCCTCCCATGACATATGGAGATTATGGGAGCTACAATTCAGGATGAGATTTGGGTGGGGGCACAGCCAAACCATATCAAGGTATATACCCAGAAATGGGATTTCTGGGTCAAATGGTAGTTCTGTTTTACCTCTTTGAGGAATTACCACACTGCTTTCCACAATGGCTGAACTAATTTACACTCCCACCAACAGTGTATAAGCATTCCCTTTTCTCTGCAACCTCACCAGCATCTGGTTTTTTTGAATTCTTAATGATTGCCATCCTGACTGGTGTGAGATGGTATCTCATTGTGGGTTTGATTTGTGTTTCTCTAATGATCAATGATATTGAGCTTTTTTTCCATATGCTTGTATGTCTTCCTTTGAAAAGTGTCTGTTCATGTCCTTTGCACACATTTTTATGGGCTTTTTGTTTTCATCTTGTAAGTTTGTGTAAGTTTATTATAGATTCTGGATATTAGACCTTTGTTGGATGCATAGTTTGCAAATATTTTCTCCCGTTCTGTAGGTTGTCTGTTTACTCTGATGATAGTTTCTCTTTTTGTGCAGAAGCTCTTTAGTTTAATTGGATCCCATTTGTCAATTTTTGCTCTTGTTGTATTTGCTTTTGCCATTTCCGTCATGAAATCTCTGTCAGCTCCTATGTCCAGAATGGTATTGCCTAGGTTATATTCCAGGGTTTTTATAGTTTTGCATTTAAGTCTTTAATTCATCTTAAGTTTTTTTTAATGTAGTGTAAGAAAGGGGTCCAGTTTCAATCTTCTGCATATCATTAGCCAGTTATCCCAGCACCATTTATTGAATAGACAGTCCTTTCCCCATTGCTTGTTTTTGTCAGCTTTGTCAAAGATCAGATGGTTGTATGTGTGGCCTTATTTGTGGGTTGTCTATTCTGTTCTGTTGGTCAATGTGTCACTTTTGTACCAGTTCCAGGCTGTTTTGGCTACTGTAGTCCTGTAGTATAGTCTGAATTCGAGTATTACAACGTGATGACTCCAGCTTTGTTCTTTTTGCTTAGGATTGCCTTGGCTATTTGGGCTCTTTTTTGATTACATATGAATTAATTTTTTTCTAGTTCTGGGGAGACTATCATTGGTAGTTTAATAGGAATAGCACTGAATCTGTAAATTGCTTTGTGCAGCATGGCCAATTTAATAATACTGATTTTTTCCTATCCATGAGCGTGGAATGTTTTTGCATTTGTTTGTGTCATCTCTGATTTCTTTGAATAGTGCTTTGTAATTCTCATTGTAGAAATCTTTCACCTCCCTGGTTAGCTATATTCCTAGGTATTTTATGCTTTTTGTGAATGGGAATGCCTTTCTGATTTGGCTCTCAGCTTGGCTGTTGTTAGCATATAGGAATGCTAGTGATTTTTGTATGTTGATTTTGTATCCTGAGACCATGCTGAAGTTATCAAATTAGGGAGCTTTTGGGCTGAGACGTTGGGGTTTTCTAGATACAGAATCATGTCATCTGCAAACAGGAATGGTTTGACTTCCTTTCTTCCTATTTGAATGTCCTGTATTTATTTCTCTTGCCTCATTGCTCTTGCCAGGACTTCCGATACTGTGTTGAATAGGAGTGGTGAGAGAGGGCATCCTTATTTGTGACAGTTTTCAAGGGCAATGCTTCCAGCTTTTGCCTGTTCAGTATGATGTTGGCTGTGGGTTTCATAGTTGGCTGTTTTCATTTTGAGGTTGCTATTTGTCCGCTCAGATATTCCATTTCTTCCTGATTCAGTCTTGGGAGAGTGTATGTGTCCAGGAATTTATCCATTTTTTTCCCAGATTTTCTAGTTTGTGGACATAGAGGTGTTCATAGAAGTCTCTGATGATTATTTGTATTTCTATGTGGTCAGTAGTAATATTTCCTTTGTTGTTCCTAATTGTGTTTATTTGAACGTTCTCTAACACTACAAAATACTTAGAAAATGAACATTTGTTGAATGAATGAAACTGTTTACTGTTTTATATTTGCAGTTTAGTATTCTTTAACCTGAAGTATCAAAGTAAACTTAGAACCAATATTTGGCTGTGAGATAATGCATTATATTATACTCCCATTAACTATCAAATGAAAGTGCACCACCCCTCAGACAAAATGAAAAAAATTGATCATCTGAGAATTGACAACCTCTTAAAGACTATGTGTGTTTTTGTGAGTTGAACTGCTCAATATTCACTTGAGGATGTGATAATGATTCCTGCTGCTTTTAATTCACATTTGAGTCTCTAGACTCTTCAGAGATTTATCCCCAAAGGCAAAAAATAATACAGTGTGGCTACTATATAATAACAAGGAATCTAAATTTATAAGTGTAAGATGATTACATTTTTTGTTTGTTTGTTTTGAGTTGGAGTCTCACCCTGTCGCCCAGGCTGGAGTGCAGTGATGCGATCTCAGCTCACTGCAACCTCCAGTTCCCGGGTTCAAGCGATTCTCTTGCCTCAGCCTCCCAAGTAGCTGGGACTACTGGCGTGCACCACTGAGCCTAGCTAATTTTTGTATTTTTAGAGATGGGGTTTCACCATGTTGGCCAGGCTGGTCTCAAACTCCTGACCTCGTGATCTGCCCGACTCGGCCTCCAAAAGTGCTGAGATTACAGGCTTGAGCCACCGCGCCCGGCCAGATGATTAAATTTTTATTTCATGAGGTAAGACTTTCGATTTGTGGGTGAATCTGGTGTAATGAGTTTCATTTGAGAACACTTTATTCTCTAAAGTTGTATGTGTACACACAAGTCATAATTAAGAAACAAAACAGATGTAATCTTGCAGTCAGCTAGCAAGTAACTTTAGTGAATTAAATTAAGTTTCTGCCATCAATTTAGTGTGAGTTAACAGGCATGATTCAATTTACCAAGATTCTTCATTTATCCACCCATAAGAACAGAAACTCACGTGGTCTTTCACTGCCGTCTAAACTTGGCACTCAGCTGTAATGCTAATATAAATTAATTAAGTGTGAGTCTCACTTTGTCACCCAGGCTGGGAGTGCAGTGCTGTGATCTTGGCTCACTGCGACCTCTGCCTCCCAGGTTCAAGTGATTCTCCTGCCTCAGGCTCCCGAGTAGCCGGGATTATAGGCATGCACCACTATGCCAGCTAATTTTCGTATTTTTAGTACAGATGGGGTTTCACGGTGTTGGCCAGGCTGGCCTCGAACTCTTGACCTCAAGTGATCCACCCATCTCAGCCTCCCAAAGTGCTAGGATTACAGATGTGAGCCACCATGCCTGGCCCAAGACACTTTTTTTTTGGAGACAGGGTCTCACTCTATCACTGAGGCTAGAGTGTAGTGGTGTAATCATGGCTCACTGCAGCCTTGACCTCCCAGGCTCAGGTGATCCTCCCACCTCAGCCTCCTAAGTAACTGAGACTACAGGTGCACACCACCGTGCCTGGCTCATTTTTAGAGATGAAGTTTTGCCATGTTGCACAGGTTGGTCTCAAATTTCTGGACTCCAGTGATCTGTCCACCTCGGCCTCCCAAAGTATTGGGATTACAAATGTGAGCCACCATGGCTGGCCCAGCTAGACATTTCGGAGAAAGATAAGGCTATAAGGCCAGAAAACTTGGAGATGAGGGTCAAGCTGGCCATCAACAGAGTGGCCCTTGGTAAACTTTTTATATTTCTAGGCTGAAACTTTGTTCTTCTGTATATTATGTCCAAAATAATATTATTTGATTCTATAATACTTCAATTTGTTAACATTGTTACACTAGGAAAAGATTTGGTTTGACTAAATATCTTAATTATGTTCTGAATATTAATCATACAACATTTTGCATAATGGTTAAATTGGTATTTCAACTTACTTGATATAATAATATTTTAATTGGAAATAATAAAAGTCATTAATCAATTTATACTAGGTGACTTCATTCATAAGCATAACTTGAAATTCCCATTTCTTCCCTGTCCTATGAAGAAAATTGTATGTCTCTTTTAAAAAACTAGTGTTGTTTAACTGATAAACATTGTAAACTATGTAACTAGCTAGGCGTCTCTTTTATACATCAGTTGTACATTTCAGAGAACTGAAATGTTAATCTGTTATCTACTGATTTTCAAGTGTACCAGATTTCATGGTAAAAATTCTCCAACTATGCTATAAATGTAATGGTTTTACAATTTTATACAAATTATACAATTTTATACAAATTACATTAATAACATAGTTATTATGGAAATTGACTGGATTCAAACTATGTGGGATTCTGATCCAGATTCTACCACTTGCTGTGTAACCTTAGGTAAATTACTTAACATTTGCAAACTTAGTTTCCCTATCTATAAAATGGTAATAATAAAAGTGCTTCATATTATTTTATGGAAATTAAAATACGTATCTCTGTATATATAATGTATATAATACAATAATATGTTATATATTATATGCATATAGATAAAATTCTTAACCCTGAGCCAGTAATTTGATAGGCATTCAGTAAATGTTAGCTAATATTTGTGTTCATTAATCTTACATTAATATATTTTAATCATTTTTGTTATATGTACCATACCTTTTATTATTCTTATAAGTCTTATGTTTTAAAATCTTTCTCTTTAAAGCAACTTTAAATATATTTCATTAAAAATACAAATTGAAAAGGATATACATTATTTGAAGCAATTTTTTGGTGTTCTAAAACAGATTTTAAAATATAGAAAGACTGATTACACATAAATACATAAACAATGAAACCCTAAGGTAAAAAAAAAAAAGTCTGAACTTTCCTTGAATGATACATCTGTTCATATTAACCTTCATGTATATATTAATGAAGATGAAGCCATCAAATTTATAACATTTTAATGTGCTGTTCTCATTAGGGTTCATTTAGTCAGCAGCTACTTCGTCTCATGAATTCCCTGAAGGACGGGAATCACACCGCTCTGACGGGGTTCATCCTATTGGGCTTAACAGATGATCCAATCCTTCGAGTCATCCTCTTCATGATCATCCTATCTGGTAATCTCAGCATAATTATTCTTATCAGAATTTCTTCTCAGCTCCATCATCCTATGTATTTCTTTCTGAGCCACTTGGCTTTTGCTGACATGGCCTATTCATCTTCTGTCACACCCAACATGCTTGTAAACTTCCTGGTGGAGAGAAATACAGTCTCCTACCTTGGATGTGCCATCCAGCTTGGTTCAGCGGCTTTCTTTGCAACAGTCGAATGCGTCCTTCTGGCTGCCATGGCCTATGACCGCTTTGTGGCAATTTGCAGTCCACTGCTTTATTCAACCAAAATGTCCACACAAGTCAGTGTCCAGCTACTCTTAGTAGTTTACATAGCTGGTTTTCTCATTGCTGTCTCCTATACTACTTCCTTCTATTTTTTACTCTTCTGTGGACCAAATCAAGTCAATCATTTTTTCTGTGATTTCGCTCCCTTACTTGAACTCTCCTGTTCTGATATCAGTGTCTCCACAGTTGTTCTCTCATTTTCTTCTGGATCCATCATTGTGGTCACTGTGTGTGTCATAGCCGTCTGCTACATCTATATCCTCATCACCATCCTGAAGATGCGCTCCACTGAGGGGCACCACAAGGCCTTCTCCACCTGCACTTCCCACCTCACTGTGGTTACCCTGTTCTATGGGACCATTACCTTCATTTATGTGATGCCCAATTTTAGCTACTCAACTGACCAGAACAAGGTGGTGTCTGTGTTGTACACAGTGGTGATTCCCATGTTGAACCCCCTGATCTACAGCCTCAGGAACAAGGAGATTAAGGGGGCTCTGAAGAGAGAGCTTGTTAGAAAAATACTTTCTCATGATGCTTGTTATTTTAGTAGAACTTCAAATAATGATATTACATAGAACCCTATCTCTTCTCTTGAGAATACTCAATGCACGTGTAGATACAGATTTAGTGTTTGCTTTCTTGACAGTGTTGAAAGTTTCATGTAGAATCTACCACATCTTTTCTTCTCCCCATGTACCTAATTTTCAAACAGTTTCTAGAACTTAATAAGCATACTTGCATATTTAAAATGGAGAGATAAAGAAAAAATTAATGAATTAATGGATGGCTGAATGAAGCATTTGTTCCTGCTTGAACTGCTGACTCTGCTGACTTTGAATCCTGGCCACTGATCAGCTGAATGCTTCTGCCTGATTCAAGTGACTGAATGTTTAGGTGAGATCCTGCTATAACAGAGACAGGCTTTTACAACAAACCCATCCTCAGCACATCTACATCACTTCCTTGACACTTTTATAACCTAGATTAGCAACTAGAATCTCAGCCTAGTTTACTAAAAGGTTTGAATTCACACTTTACTAAATAGTTGCTCCTTTATGCATTTGCATGGTTGGAGAGCTAAAAGATCTAGAAGTCAAATGTTAGTAATAGTAGTAACAGGATTAAACTGTCTACTACATTCTGGGCACTGTTATCACTGTTTACAAGTAAAGTATTAACCTAATTATTTCTTGGAATAACTCTTTAAAGTTTTTTTAAAAATTATTGTATTACAAAGGATGTAACTGAGGCACGTAAGGTTAAGCAAAAGATCAATGGCACAAATATTCTCATAATACTTTGGCTTTTTTTAAGGCACATACTTCCTGTGGAGTGAAGGGCAATTTGAGAACACTTCACCATGAACTTTCATTTGTCTCTGACACATTTCTTTCTAGCAAACCCTTTCTGTTCACAGTAAGTATAGAGACTTCTATATCTGGATATGGCAGGCTAATTTGTATTACACCAACTTTGTGGCATGAAATACATAAGAAACTGCATATTTCTACATGTTTGAAGGCATAGATTTTTGATTACCTTGATGCTGAAGTAGCCCCATTTCTTCCAGGCCCTTCCTCTTATTACCAAAAAATCCCTATATGTAGCACAAAAACAAGTAGGAAGACTTTCAAAGGTGGAATAAAAAGGGTTAACTGCCTAGGAACTATTGGACTTGAAAAACAACATAGCAATGAAGTTTTGAGGTTTCCTTATTGCTTCCACATACCCAGGACAGGATCCTTTAGAAAATTCCAACTTAGGACTGCCAACAGACACAGACAAAAGCAAAAAACAAAAAACAACTGTAAGAAAAGACTGTTCTCTCCTGGTCAAAGAACTGGGAAAAGGGTGGCCTGGAGAGAAAAGAAAACATTTAGGCACTTCCTGCCTTACTCTAGACAAAAACCAATGGAAAAATTATGTTTCAGTGGGGCCAATCAGGGAGCCTGTTTTCCAACTGAACTGGGATCCACTTGCCCTGCACAATAACGCCAAACATCTACACCAGGTTTATAGCAGGAGAAAGGAGAGCATTTATTTGCAGAGTGCCAAGCAAGGAGAATCAAGCAGCCCTTGCTCAAGTCCCGATCTTTCCAATGGCTTGCAAGTAAGGATTTTTAAAGGTGGGGAGGCAGAGTTGACAGGCAAAGTCATAAATCGGAATATGGAGGCAATACATTGGTTTGACCTAAAAGGGTGGCAGATCTTGAAGTGGAGATAGGGAACAGATCATAGGTGGACTCGAAGATTTTCTGATTTGCAGTTGGTTCAGGAGGCAAAACTTTGTTTAAAACTTTGGGATTAGCAGAAAAGAATATTAGTTCTGGCCTTGGAGTGTGACCCCTCCCATGCCCATCAGGAAGAAATTTAGAGCAAAGCATGGCTGTGGTCAGACTTCAGTCCTCATTTCCTCCTTATCTGAGGTCTATGTGCCAGCAGATGGAATTTTTCATCTGGTGGGGGTCCAGGTTTCTGAAAAACAACCCAGGGACATATGTTGTTAAGATGCTATCTTAAGTTTCTACAGGAGAACCAAACATCCCGTAATTCTAACTTCCTTGGCTATTGTTTTACGCCACTATTACTTTCTTTCATATCAAGTTTCTCATTTACTTCTCAGAGCTAGCTAGGTGTCTGAAATTTCCCTTGAAAAAACTCAATTTTTTTTTCTGTTATTTCTATGCTTGAGGGGGCCCATGGATCCCTAAGAGGAGTCCCTGTTCCATCTCATGCTGATCTTCACCTTGCCCCGACTCTGATTCCCCTGCCAGGGTAATGTCAGCAGGGTTCAGTGGAGAAAGGAGCCTCCACTGTCACCTGGCAGCAACAAGACTTAATGAGATGGTGTGAGGTAGGGCTAGCTGGTATTCTACAGCCCCCATCATGACTCTCCTGCTCCAATGTGAGTGGTGGTCCAGTGAGGAGCTGAGCTTCCAACCCTCCCTGCAATGAGGTAGTGTGAACCAGCTAGCCACCTCACCTTTCCTTAGGGTCAATTGGTCCCAACAGGAAGCAGGACCTGAAAGGTAAGGAGGCATACAAATCAATGCCCTTCACTGGGATGAAGTCAACAGAGCAGTGGGGAGCTGAACATTCCCCTCACCCATCTGGAAGAAAGTAGTATGAGTCAGCTCTCCATTTTCAGCAGACTGGAACATACCTGGAAGTTTCAGCTACAGCTCAACAAGGATGACTGCTGAAAAAGACTGGGCACGATTCAGAGATTTAGAGTCTCATAATATGATATTCAGAATGTCCATGATATGGTCAAATATCAATTTTCATTCCAAGGAAAACACAACTTGAATGAGAAAAGGCAATACATGCCAACACTAAGACTAAGATGAAGCGGATATTGAAATTTTCTAACAAAGATTTAAAGCAGCCATAAAAAATGATTCAAGAAGCAATAATTAATTTTCTTGAAAGAAATAAAAATAGAGAATTTCAGCAAATAAATAGAAGTTACAAATAAGAACCAAATGGAAATTATAAAACTGCAAAACATACTCATAGAAATATTAAAAAACAACAAACTTGCTGGATGAACTCAGTAGCAGAATAGAGATACAGAGGACAAAATCAGTGAACTTGAATAAAGATGAATAGAATTTACCTGTTCTGAACAATAAACAAAATAGATTGGAACAATAAAAAAGAACAGAACACATGAACCTATGAGACAGTAAAAGAGAGCTAATATTTATATCCTGAGAATCTCAGAAGGAAAGGGGTATTCAATAAGTAATCAAAGAAGTAATGATTGAAAACATTCCAAATTGGTCAAAGATATATAGAGCTACAGATTCAGGAAGGTGAGCAAATCTCAGATAGGATAAACCCAAGGAAATCCACAACAAGACACATCCTAATTAAACTTTTGAAAAATAAAGACAGAAAAATCTTGAAAGCAGCCAGACGGAAAGGACATATTACTTAGAAGAGAAAAGCATTTTGAAAGACAATGAGTTTCTCATCCAAAACTATAAAACCAGAAAGAAGTGGTACAACATTTTTCTTCTGTTTTATGAGTTAAAAAATTGTATATGTTTAAGTTATACACCATATTTTGTTACCCATGTACATAATATAACTGTAACAATTAAGCAAGTTATCACATGCATCATCTTACATAGTTATCTTTTTTTTTCTTGGTTGGAGCACCTAAAACCTACTCTCTTGGCAGAATGATGGTTACCAGAAGCTGGGAAGAGTAGTGAAGGTGGGTGGAAGGGGACATGTTTAATGGGTATAAAAATATAGTTAAACAGAATGAATAGGATCTAGTATTTGACAGCACAACAGGGTAACTATAGTCAACAATAATTTACTGTACATTTTAAAATAAAACTTAAAAAGTAGAATTGGAATCTGTAGCACAAAGAAATGATAAATGCTTAATGTGATGAATACCCCATTTACCCTGATATGATTATTACACATTGTATGCCTGTATCAAAATATCTAATATATTCCATAAATATAAACACCTACTATGCACCCATAAAAGTGAAAAATAAAGAAACAAAAAAGTCTACTCCCTTAACAAATTTTGTGGGTATAATATTATTAGCTGTAGTCTTCCTATTGTACATTAGATTGCTCAACTTATCCTAAACAGCTGCAACATTTTAGCCTTTGACCAACATCTGCCATTACCTACTACACCCTCCTCCTGGTACCCACCAATCTGCTCTCTGTTTCTGTGTATTTGACATTGTAAAAAGATTTCGTATATATAAATGAGATCATGCAATACTTTTCTTTCCGTGTTTGGCTTATTTTGCTTAGCATAATGTCCTCAGGACCATCCATGTTGTGGCAAATGGCAGGATCTCCTTCCTTTAAAAGGCTGAATAATATTCCATTGTGTGCATGTGTGTGTAGTGTGTGTGTGTCTGTATGTATATAATATATATTTAAAAGGCTGAATATTTAATATGTATATTTAAAAGGCTGAATAATATTCCATTGTGTGTGTGTGTACACAGACACACACACAAACACACACACCATTTTGTTTATCCATTTATGGTGGCTCAGGTGTCTCCATGAGGCACTGATTTTATTTCCTTTGAGTATATACCCAGCAAAGGGACTTTTGGGTCATATGTAGTTCTATTTTTAATTTTTTGAGGAACTTTCTTACTGTTTCCAAAATGTCTACACCAGTTTAGAATCCTACCAACAGTGCACAAGGTTCCTTTTTCTCCATACCCTCACAAACACTTGTTATCACTTGTCTTTTATAATAGCCATCCTAATGGGTATGAGGTGATATCTCACTGTGGTTTTGATTTGTATTTCCTTGATGAATAGCAATATCAACAAGTCTGTTTTTTTTCTTTTTTTTAAATTATACTTTAAGTTCTAGGGTACATGTGCACAACGTGCAGGTTTGTTACTATGTATACATGTGCCATGTTGGTGTGCTGACCCATTAACTTGTCATTTACATTAGGTATATCTCCTAATGCTATCCCTCCCCACTACCCCCACCCCACGACAGGCCCTAGTGAGTGATGTTCCCCTTCCTCTGTCCAAGTGATCTCATTGTTCAATTCCCACCTATGAGTGAGAACATGTGGTGTTTAGTTTTCTGTCCTTGTGATAGTTTGCTGAGAATGATGGTTTCCAGCTTCACCCATGTCCCTACAAAGGACATGAAATCTTTTTTTATGGCTGCATAGTATTCTATGGTGTATATGTGCCACATTTTCCTAAACCAGTCTATCATTGATGGACATTTGGGTTGGTTCCAAGTCTTTGCTATTGTGAATAGTGCTGCAATAAACATACGTGTGTATGTGTCTTTATAGCAGGATGATTTATAATCCTTTGGGTATATACCCAGTAATGGGATTGTTGGGTCAAATGGTATTTCTAGTTCTAGATCCCTGAGGAATCGCCACAATGTCTTCCACAATGGTTGAACTAGTTTACAGTCCCACCAACAGTGTAAAAGTGTTCCTACTTCTCCACATCCTCTCCAGCACCTGTTGTTTCCTGACTTTTTAATGATCACCATTCTAACTGGTGTGAGCTGGTATCTCATTGTGGTTTTGATTTGCATTTCTCTGATGGCCAGTGATGATGAACATTTTCTCATGTGTCTGTTGCCTGCATAAATGTCTTCTTTTGAGAAGTGTCTGTTCATATCCTTTGCCCACTTTTTGATGGGGTTGTTTGTTTTTTTCTTGTAAATTTGTTTGAGTTCTTTGTAGATTCTGGATATTAGCCATTTGTCAGATGAGTAGATTGCAAAAATTTTCTCCCATTCTGTAGGTTGCCTGTTCAGTCTGATGGTAGTTTCTTTTGCTGTGCAGAAGCTCTTTAGTTTAATTAGATCCCATTAGTCAATTTTGTCTTTTGTTGCCATTGCTTTTGGTGTTTTAGACATGAAGTCCTTGTCCATGCCTATGTCCTGAATGGTATTGCCTAGGTTTTCTTCTAGGGTTTTTATGGTTTTAGGTCTAACATTTAAGTCTTTAATCCATTTTGAATTAATTTTCATATAAGGTGTAAAGAAGGGGTCCAGTTTCAGCTTTCCTCATATGGCTAGCCAGTTTTCCCAGCACCATTTATTAAATAGGGAATCCTTTCCCCATTGCTTGTTTTTGTCAGGTTTGTCAAAGATCAGATGGTTGTAGATGTGTAGTGTTGTTTCTGAGGACTCTGTTCTGTTCCATTGGTCTGTATCTCTGTTTTGGTACCAATACCATGCTGTTTTGGTTACCGTAGCCTTGTTGTATAGTTCAAAGTCAGGTAGCATGATGCCTCCAGCTTTGTTCTTTTGGCTTAGGATTGTCTTGGCAATGCGGGCTCTTTTTTGGTTCCATATGAACTTTAAAGTGGTTTTTTCCAATTCTGTGAAGAAAGTCATTGGTAGCTTAATGGGGATGGCATTGAATCTATAAATTACCTTGGTCAGTGTGGCCATTTTCACGATATTGATTCTACCTATTCATGAGCATGGAATGTTCTTCCATTAGTTTGTGTCCTCTTTTATTTTGTTGAGCAGTGGTTTGTAGTTCTCCTTGAAGAGGTCCTTCTAGTCCCTTGTAAGTTGGATTCCTAGGTATTTTATTCTCCTGGAAGAAATTGTGAATGGGAGTTCACTCATGATTTGGCTCTCTGTTTGTCTATTATTGGAGTATAAGAATGCTTGTGATTTTTGCACATTGATTTTGTATCCTGAGACTTTGCTGAAGTTGCTTATCAGCTTAAGGAGATTTTGGGCTGAGATGATGGGGCTTTCTAAATATCCAATCATGTCATCTGCAAACAGGGACAATTTGACTTCCTCTTTTCCTAATTGAATACCCTTTATTTCTTTCTCCTGCCTGATTGCCCTGGCCAGAACTTCCAACACTATGTTGAATAGGAGTGGTGAGAGAGGGCATCCCTGTCTTGTGCCAGTTTTCAAAGGGAATGCTTCCAGTTTTTGCCCATTCAGTATGATATTGGCTGTGAGTTTGTCATAAATAGCTCTTATTATTTTGAGATACGTCCCATCAGTACCGAATTTATTGAGAGTTTTTAGCATGAAGGGCTGTTGAATTTTGTCAAAGGACTTTTCTGCATCTATTGAGATAATCACATGGTTTTTGTCTTTGGTTCTGTTTATATGCTGGATTACATTTATTGATTTGCATATGTTGAACCAGCCTTGCATCCCAGGGATGAAGCCAGCTTGATTATGGTGGATAAGCTTTTTGATGTACTGCTGGATTCGGTTTGCCAGTATTTTATTGAGGATTTTAGCACTGATGTTCATCAGGGATATTGGTCTCTAACATTCTCTTTTTTTGTTATGTCTCTGACAGGCTTTGGTATCAGGATGATGTTGGCCTCATAAAATGAGTTAGGGAGGATTCCCTCTTTTTCTATTGATTGGAATAGTTTCAGAAGGAATGGTACCAGCTCCTCCTTGTACCTCTGGTAGAGTTCGGCTGTGAATCGGTCTGGTCCTGGACTTTTTTTGGTTGGTAGGCTATTAATTATTGCCTCAATTTCAGAGCCTGTTATTGGTCTATTCAGGGATTCAACTTCTTTCTGGTTTAGTCTTGGGGGGGTGTATGTGTCGAGGAATTTATCCATTTCTTCTAGATTTTCTAGTAATTTAAGCATGTTTTTATATATACCTGTTGGTCATTTTTATGTCTTCTTTTGAAAAATGTTTATTCAGATCTTTTGCCCAATTTTTAATCTAGTTATTTGGAGTTTTTTTTGCTATTGAGTTGTGTAAGTTCTTTATTTATATATTTTGGATATTAATCTCTTATCAGATATGTGGTTTACAAATATTTTCCCCCAAACCATAAGTTGCCTTTTTATTTTGTTGATTGTATCCTTTGTTCTGCAGAATAATTTTAGTTTGCTGTAACTTATTTTTGCTTTTCTCACCTGAGCTTTTACTGTCAAATCCAAAAAATAATTGCCAAGGTCAATGTCAAGCAGATTTCCCCCTGTATTTTCCTCTAGGAGTTTTACGGTTTTAGGTATCATGTTTTGGTCTTAATCAATTTTGAGTTGGTTTTTGAGAATGGTTTAAAATGAGTACAATTTCTTTGTTTTACATGTGCATATCCAGTTTTCCCAAAAGTGCTTACTATGGAGATTATCCTTTTGCTGTTGTGTGTGCTCAGTAACCTTGTCTAAAATTAGTTAACCATATATGCATGGGTTTATTTCTGTGCTCTCTAGTCTTTCTGTTGACCTCTGGGGATATATACTTTTTAAAATTGATTTTAATTGTGGTAAAATACATATAACAAAAATGTCCAACTTAACCATTTTAAGTGTAAAGTTCAGTGATGTTAAGAACATTCAAATTAGCTGGATGTGGTGGCACATGCCTGTAATCTCATCTACTTGGGAGACTGAGGCAGGAGAATCACTTGAGCTGGGGAGGCGGAGGTTGCAGTGAGCCGAGATCGTGCCATTGCACTCCAGCCTGGGCAACAAGAGCGAAACTCCATAAACAAAGAAACAAACAACCAAAAAAAAATTCACGTTGTTATACAACCATCACCACCATCTATCTTCAGAACGCTTCATCTTTTGAAACTGAAACTGTAACTAGTAAACAGTAACTCTTCATTCCCCTCTCACTTTCAGCCTCAGTAAATCACCATTCTACTTTCTGTCTCTATGAATTTGACTACTCTAAGTAACTTCTACATGTAGAATCATGCAGTATTTGTCTTTTTGTGATTGGCTCATTTCATGTAGCATAATGTCCTCAAGGCTCATCCATGTTGTAGCATACCTCAGAATTTCCTTCCTTCTTTTTGTTTTTAATCCACCCATCCTCACACTGATTCCTTCCCTTTTAAGACTGAAAAATATTTTCTTATATATATATATACCACATTTTTTGTTTATCCATTTATCTATCCATGGACACATGGGTTGCTTTCACCTTTGGGCTATTATGAAGAATACTGCTATGAACACAGCTGTACAAATACATCAATATTTTGGGTATATACCCAATTGTTTTTCAGTTTAGGAGAGTATATACCAAAAAGTGAAATTGCTAGATTATATGATAATTCTAATTTTGATTTTTTGAGGAACTGCCACGTTGTTTTCCACAGTGGCTGCCTGCACCATTTTTCGTTTTTACAAATAATGCACAAGGGTTTCAATATCTGCACATCCACATTTGTTATTTTCTGTTTTTATTTGATAGTAGTCATCCTAATGGTGTGAGGTGATAAGTCACTACGGTGTTGATTTGCATTTCTGTGGGTTTATTTTTGTGCCAGCACCATACTATTTTGATTACTATAGCTTAGTTAATGTAATTTGAAATCAGAAAGTGTGATGCCCCCAGCCTTACCTTTCTTGTTTAAAATTGTTTTACTATTTGGGGTCATTTATCTGTGTTTTCTTCAATTTCTTTCTTAATGCTTTGTAGCTTTCAGTGTAGAGGTCTTTTCCCTCCTTGATTAAAAGTAACCCTAGGTAGGCCTGGCACAGTGGCTCATGCCTATAATCCCAGCATTTTGGAAGGCCTAGGGGAGTGGATCACCTGAGGTCAGGAGCTTGAGACCAGCCTGGCCAACATGACAAAAACCCGCCTTTACTAAAAATACAAAAATTAGCTGGATATGTTGGAGCATGCCTATAGTCCCAGCTGCTCAGGAGGCTGAGGTGGGAGAATCGATTGAGCTTGGGAGGTGGCAGTTGCAGTGAGCTGATATTGTACCACTGCACTCCAGCCTGGGCAACAGAGTGAGACTGTCTCAAGAAAAATTAAAAAAAAAAAGTAACCCTAAGTATATTATTCTTTTTGATGTGATCCTAAATGAGTTTGCTTTTTTAATTTCTTTTTTACCTCTTTTTAACTCATCCATAATAGATGTACATTGTTTGGGGTACATGTAATAACTTAATAGATTAATATCGTTTGTAAAGGTCAAATCAGTGAATCAGTGTACGTGGAATATCCATCACCTTAAATTTTGTCTTTTTTTAGTGCTAAAACCATTTGAATTCCCTTCTAGACTTTTGAAGTGTACAATAGATTATTGTAAACTACAGTCACTCTACTGCCCTACTGACCTATCTAATGGTATATCTTATTTCTTTTTTTCTTTTTCTTTTCTTTTTTTTTTTTGAGACTGAATCTCACTCTGTCACCCAGGCTGGAGTGCAGTGGTGAGATCTTGGCTCACTGCAACCTCCGCCTCCTGGGTTCCAGCGATTCTTCTGCCTCAGCCTCCTGAGTAGCTGGGACTACGTGCACATGCCACCATGCCTGGCTAATTTTTGTATTTTTAGTAGAGATGGGGTGTCACCATATTGGCCAGGCTGGTCTCGAACTCCTGACCTCTTGATCTGCCCAGCTTGTCCTCCCAAAATGCTGGGATTACAGACATGAGTCACTGCACCTGGCCTTGTTTTTTTTGTTTTTTGTTTTAGATGGAGTCTCACTCTGTCACCCAGGCTGGAGTGCAGTGGTGCAGTCTTGGCCCACTGCAACATCCATCTCTCAGGTTCAAGCAATTCTTCTGCCTCAGTCTCCTGAAGTAGCTGGGACTACAGTGCCACCACGCCTGGCTAATTTTTGTAGTTTTAGTACAGATGGAGTTTTACCATATTGGCCAGGCTGATATTGAACTCCTGACCTCGTGATCCACCTGCCTCAGCCTCCCAAAGTGCTGGGATTACAGGCATGAGCTACCATGCCAGTCCAGATCTTATTTCTTTCAGCAAACTCTTGATTTCTTTCTCTGATAGGTTGTCATTGGTGTAAAAAATGCAACTGATTTTTGCATGTTGATTTTGTATTCTGCAACTTAGCTAAATTTATTTCTTAGTTGTAAAATTTTGTTTTTGTCTGACATCTTTATTTTTTTCTTATATATGTTTAATCATGTGTTATGCAAATGGGGTAACTTTACTTCTCCCTTTCTGGTTTGGATGGCGTTTATATCTTTTTCTTGCCTGATTGCTCTGGCTAGGGCTTTCATTGCTACATTGAATAAATGTGGTGATAGTGTACATCTTTGTCTTGCTCCTGATTGTGGAGAAAATCAGAATTTTCTGTGGGATCTAAGGATTTTCTGTGGGATTGTCAAATATGGCCTTTATTGTGTTAAGGGACCATTCTTGCCATTCGTAATTTGTTGAGCATTTTAATCTTGAAAGGAACTTGAATTGTTTAAATGCATTTTCAGCATCTATTGAGATGATCATGTGATTTTTATCCTGCTGGGTTTTGGTGCCAGGATGATGCTGGCCTCCTAGAATGAGTTGGGAAAGAGTCCCTCCTTTTCAATGTTTTGGAATAGTTTCAGTAGAAATGGTATCAGCCCTTCTTTGAACATTTGGTAAAATTCAGCTGTGAATCTGTCTGGTACTGGGCTTTATTTATTTATTTAGACTATTTATTACTGCCTCAATTTCAGAACTGTTTATTGATCTGTTCAAGGATTCAGTTTCTTCCTTGTTCAGTCTTGGGTGTATGTATGTGTTTAGGAATTTATTCATTTCTTCTAGATTTTCTAGTTTATGTACATAGAGGTGTTTATAATATTCTCTGATGGCTGTTTGTATTTCTTTTTTTGAAGGAAAATTTGTATTACTTTAATTATTTTTATGTCCAGAAAACTCAACAGTGTACATTTAACCCAGTTTAGTGGCAAGTTCTTTAGCCTTTGCCTTTTTGAGCTTGGCAATGTGAGCCACAGACTTGGGACCCAGGACATTACTTCCCCATTGATGGCAGATCTCATCGTATCTGTCATTGTAATTGGTCCTGATAGCTTACAACAGCTTAGCCAAAGCTCCTTTGTCTTCCAAGTTAACCTGTGTGAAGGCGACAGTGGTGCAGGTCTTCCTGTGGAGTAGACGTCCAGATCCACGTCATCTGCAATCACCACCAGCTGAGCTTTCTTGTTCTCCACCAAGGTGGTGACAGTGTTAACTCCTGCTCAAAGAACAGGTGGTCTCTTAGTGGGGACATCCCCTTTGCTGGCAGCTTCCTTTTCAGCTTGGGCCAACCACCTCTGCTTCTTCTCTTGCTCTCTGGTCTGTACTTGTGGGCCAGCTTAAGCAGCTGAGTAGTTGTTTGGTGGTCCAGGGCCGGGTGAACTGGTTAATTGCAGGAGGCACTTTCAGCCACTTAAAAAGGATGGCTCTCTGCCACTGCAACCTGATATAGTGGGGCCATTTCACAA
The DNA here is from genome assembly GCF_000001405.40 of Homo sapiens. Lineage (NCBI taxonomy): Eukaryota > Metazoa > Chordata > Mammalia > Primates > Hominidae > Homo > Homo sapiens. The sequence goes on along the minus strand of NW_011332695.1, from coordinate 4,721 downwards.
AGCAGGTGAGGTCTCTTTTGGGCTGGATGTCCTGTCCAGTGCCAAAATTCTTAGGCCTTTTCCCAAACAGGGGATTCACCACTTTCTTGGCCACCTACTTCATGACAGCAGGGGCCAGAGCCACCTTCTTCCCCTTGGCCTTCTTTCCTTTTGACATCTTGGCTTGCAGGAGGAGAGAGAGGCTGTATTTCTGTGGGGTCAGTGGTAATATCCCCCTTATAATTTCTGATTGTGTTTATTTGAATCTTCTCTCTTTCTTCTTTATTATTCTAGCTAGCAGTTTACCTATTTTATTAATTTTTTCAAAAAAACAGCTCCTGGATTTGTTGATCTTTTGAATGGTTTTTTGTGTCTCAATCTCCTTCAGTTCAGCTCTGGTTTTGATTATTTCTTGTCTTCTGCTAGCTTTGGATTTTGTTGGCTCTTGGTTCTCTAGTTCTTTTAGTTGTGACATTAGGTTGTTAACTTGAGATCTTTCTAGCATTTTCATGTGGGCATTTAGTGCTATAAATTTCCTTCTTAACACTGCCTTAGCTGTGTCCCAGAGATTCTAGTATGTTGTATCTTTGTTCTCATTAGTTTCAAAGAACTTCTTGATTTCTGGCTTAATTTCGTTATTTACCCAAAAGTCATTCAGGAGCACGTTATTCAATTTCCATGTAATAGTATGGTTTTGAGTGAGCTTCTTAGTCTTGAGTTCTAATTTGATTGCACTGTGGTCTGAGAGACTGTTATGACTTCAGTTCTTTTGCATTTGCTGAGGAGTATTTTACTTCTGCTTACTTTTTCAATTTTAGAGTAAGTGCCATGGGGCCATGAGAAAAATGTACCATCTGTTGTTTTAGGGTGGAGAGTTCTGTAGATATTTTTCAGGTTCATTTGATCCAGAGTTGATGGCAGGTCCTGAATATCTGTTGATTTTCTGTCTCAATGATCTGTGTAATATTGTCAGTGGAGTGTTAAAGTCTCCCACTAGTATTGTGTGGGAGTCTAAGTCTCTTTGAAGATCTCTAAGAACTTGATTTCTGAATTTGAGTGCTCCTACGTTGAGTGCATATATATTTATTTAGGATAGTTAGCCTTATTGAATTGAACCCTTTGCCATTATGTAATGCCTTTCTTTGTCTTTCTTGATCTTTGTGGTTTAAAGTCTGTTTTTTCAGAAACTAGGATTACAACTCGTGCTTTTTTCTGTTTTTTTGTTTTCTTGGTAAATTTTCCTCCATCCCTTTCTCTTGAGCCTATGTGTGTCATTGCATATGAGATGGGTCTCTTGAAGACAGCATATTATTGGGTCTTGGTTCTTTATCCAGCTTGCCTTTTTATGTTTTTTAATTGGGGAATTTAGCCCATTTACATTTAAGGTTAGTATTATTATGTGTGGATGTGATCCTGTCATGATGATGCTAGCTGGTTTTTTTGCAGACTTGTTTTTGTGGTTGCTTTATAGTGTCACTGGTCTGTGGTACTTCAGTGTGTTTTTGTAGTGGCTGGTAATGGTTTTTCCTTTCCATATTTGGTGCTTCCTTCAGGAGCTCTTGTAGGGCAGGTATGGTGGTTATGAATTCCCTCAGTATTTCCTTGTCTGAAAAGGACCTTATTTCTCCTTCACTTATGAAACTTAGTTTGGCCAGGTATGAAATTCTGGGTAGAAATTTCTTTTCTTTAAGAATGTTGAATATAGGCCCCCAATTTCTTCTGCCTTATAAGGTTTCTGCTGAGAGGTCCCCTGTTAGTCTGATGGGTTTCCCTTTGTAGGTGACCTGGGCTTTCTCTCTGGCTACCCTTAACATTTTTTCTTTCATTTTTATCTTGGAGAATCTGATGATTATGTGTCTTGGTGATGATCTTCTCATGGAGTATCTTACTGGGGTTCTCTACATTTCCTGAATTTGAATGTTGGCCTGTCTAGCTAGGTTGGAAAAGTTCTCCTCTTTAATATCCTGAAATATGTTTTCCAAATTGGTTTCATTCTCCTCATCTCTTCCAGGTACACCAATCAGTGGTAGATTCAGTCTCTTTATATAATCCCATATTTATCGGAGGTTTTGTTCATTTTTTCATTTTTATTCTCTATTCTTGTCTGCCTGTCCTATTTCAGAAAACAATCTTCAAGATCTGAGATTCTTTCCTCCACTTGGTCTAGTCTGCTATTAATACTTGTGATTGCATTATGGAATTTTTGTAGTGTGTTTTTCAGCTCTATCAGGTTGGTTTTGTTCTTCTCTATACTGGCTATTTTGTCTGTTAGCTCTTGCAATGTTTTTTCATAATTCTTAGCTTCCTTGCATTGAGTTAGAACATGCTTCTTTGGCTCAGTGAAGATTGTTTTTATCCAGAATCTGAAGTCTACTTCTGTCATTCCAGTCATCTCAGCCTCTGCTCAGTTCTAGACCTTTGCTGGAGAGGTGATGTGGTCATTTGGAGGGAAGAGATCACTCTGGCTTTTTGAATCTTCAGTGTTCCTGTGCTGATTTTTTCTCATCTTTGTGAGCTTATGGTGGTTGTTTGTTTGTTTGTTTGTTTGTTTTTTCAGTCTGGCCACTTTTCTATAGGGCTGCTGTGGGTTTTGCTGAGTTTCCACTCCAGCCCCTAGTTGCCTATGGATTTTTCAGTATGTGGCAGTATCAGCAGTGAAGGCTGCAAAAAAGCAAAGATGGCAGCCTGCTCTTTCCTCTGGGGACTCCATCCCAGAGGGGTATAGACCCGTTGCCAGCCCAAATGCACCTGTAGGAGGTGGCTGGAGACCCAGGTTGGGAAGCCTCACCCAGTCAGGAGGAACAGGATCAGGGACCTGCTTAAAGAAGCAGTCTAGCCATGCTTTCATAGAGCAGTTGTGCTGTGCTGGGGTACTAATTCTGCCCTTAGTCAGCTTGGGCTCTCCAAAACCTGGAGGCTGGAATGGCTAAGTTGCCAAAACAGCAAAGATGGCAGCCCACCCCTCTGTCTAGGAGCTTTGTCCCAGGAAGTTTTCAAACCTCTGACAGCCAGAAAACATCAGTGAGAGCGGCTGGAGGCCCTAGTTGGGAAGTCCTACCCAGCAAGAAGGAATAGATCAGGGACATGCTTAGGGAGGCAGTCTGACCACACTTTTGTGGAGCAGCTGTGCCATGCTGGGGTACCGCTTCAACCCTGGTCAGTTTGGGCTCTCCAAAGCCCACAGACTGGAACAACTGAGTTGCCCAAACAGCAAAGATGGTGGCCTGCCCCTCCTGCTGGGAGCTCAGTCCCAGGGAGAAATCAAATCACTGTTGGCTGGAGAATACAGGCAGGGGTGGTTGGAAGCCCTGGTTGGGAGGTCCTGCCCAGAGATGAGGAAGAGATTGGGGTCCCACTTAAAGAAGCAGTCTGGCTATGTTTTGGTAGAGCAGATGTGCTGTGTTGGGGAATCCTATCTTCACCCAATCTGTTTGAACTCTCCAAAGCCAGCAGGATGGAATGGCTGAGTTGCCCAAACAGTAAAAATGGTGGCCCGCCCCTCCCTACAGGCACTCAATTCCAGGGAGAAATCAAAACTGTTAGCCAGAGAATATGGGTGGTGGTGGTTGGAGGCCCTGGTTGGAAGGTCCTGTCCAAAGATGAGGAGTGGATCAGGGTCTCCCTTAAAGAAGCAGTCTGATTTTCAGGTTGGGTGGGGCTCCCAGTCCTATACCCTCGATTCATCATCAAAAGTGACCCAGGCATTTAAGTATTGAAAGAATATTTGAGTAGTTAGAGTCCCTGACCCAGGTAGACAAGCATGAATGGATGCCAAAATGAAGAACTCTAGAGAGGACCTTAGGCGTCCAGTGGAGAGGAAGGGAAGGCAACAATCAGTTGGCATGTTATATATCTAAATGGCATAGTCCAGAACCAAGAAGGCACCAGATACTGTACTTCCTGTCTTATATTGGATTTGAGGTGAAAATCCCCCGACCTGTGTTGAAAGACAATTTACTTCTCATAAAAAATGAATAAATAATCATATACCAATACTTCATTTTTACTTAATGAAATTTAGGTTCTTAGCCCTGATGTATGACCAAACACCTATGGGTGCTTTATAGGTATCATCATTCCTTTAAGTCAAATAACAAAGCTGTATTTTAGGGACAATTATTTCTATTTCACAAATGCAAAAACTGAGAGTCAGAGACATTATGCACCAATAATACAGCTGTTTGGCAGGAGGCCCAGGATCTAATTATTTGACTCTAGTCACTCCATGACTCTGTGATCAGCATAGATTGAAGCTCAAGTGGTGTGCACAATGAAAGCAAGGTAAGCTCCACTGAACTCTGCCTCAGTCAGGAGGCAAAGAGCATAAATGTTGCTCAGTATTTGGCTTCATTCCTCAGATCAGAGTATGTTCAGAGAGTGACAAAGAGAATTGTGAGGGATCTAAATGGTATTTCACAGTGGAATGGCCAAAGGAACTATGAGAGTTTAAATTTAGAAAAAGGAAGGTAGAAGAGGCATCATAGGGGGTCAAATATGTTAACATTTTTATATAGATATTGGATGGTTTGCACCATTAAACTCAGGCGGGACCAATTGGGAAGTTTAAAAAATAGATTTTAATAACAGAACCAACACCAAAGGCAATAAGGCCTGACACTAGAGTAATTGAGGTGCAATTAATGAAGATCAATTAAGGAAGAGATGGAACACATTCTTTCATGAGCTACAGGTTCTCAACTATTGGTTTATTATCCCTCAGAATTCACATAGTCAAAGAATTC